>NC_000015.10:17499051-17751900 GCF_000001405.40 Homo sapiens | reverse complement strand
TCCGTGTAGTTTTTATGTGAAGATATTTACTTTTCCACAGTTGTCCCAAAGCTCTAAAATATCCACTTGCAGACCCTCCAAAAGAGTGTTTCAGAATTGCTCAATCAAAGGGAAGGTTCAATTCTGTGTGACCAATGCACTCATCACAAAGAAGTTTGTCTGAATGCTTCTGTGTAGAATTGATTTGAAGATAATTCCTTTTCCACCACAGTCCGCAAAGGGCTAAAAATATCCACTTGCCGATTCCACAAAAAGAGAGATTCAAAACTGCTCAATCACAAGATAGGTTCAACTTGGTAATTGGAAAGCACACATGACAAACAATTTCTGAGAATGTTTCTGTGTAGTTTTTAAGGGAAGATATTTGATTTTCAAATGTAGGCCTCAAATCGCTCCAAATATCCACTTGCATATTGTACAAAAAGAGAGATTCAAAACTGGTCACTCAAAAGTTAGGTCCAGCTCTGTGAGCTGAATGCACACATCACAAAGATGTTTCTCAGAAGGTTTCTGTATAGTTTTTATATGAAGATATTGGCTTTTCCACAATATGCCTCAAATCTCCCCAATTATCCACTTGCAGATTCTAGAAAAAGAGTGTTTCAAAACAGCTCAATCAAATTAAACTTTCAACTCTGTGAGATCAATGCACACATCACAAAGAAGTTTCTCAGAATGCTTCTGTGTAGTTTTTTTTGTGAAGATATTTGATTTTCCACAGCAGGCTTCCAAGCACTCCAAATATCCACTTGCAGATTCTGCAAAAAGAGAGATTCAAATCTGCTGAATCAAAAGATAGGTTTAACTCTGTGACTTCAATGCACACCTCACAAGGGTGTTTCTCAGAAAGCTTCTGTGTAGTTTTTATATGAAGATATCTCCTTCTCCAAAGCAGGTCTCAAAGCCCTCCAAATATTCACTTCAAGATTCTACGGAAAGATTGTCTCAACACTGCTAAATCTAAACAAATGTTCAACTCTGTGTGATGAATGCACTCATCACAGAGAAGTTTCTCTGAATGCCTCTGTGTAGTTTTTATTTGAAGATATTTGCTTTTCCAGTATAGGGCGAAATAGGGCTCCAAATATTCACTTGCAGATTCTACAAAAGGAGAGATTCCAAACTGCTCAATCAAAACATAGGTTCAACACTGTGAGTTGAATGCACACATCACAAAGAAGTTTCACAGAGTGCTTCTGGGTAGTTTTTATTTGAGGATATTTCCCTTTCCACAATAGGCCTCAAAGCTTTCCAAATATCCACTTGCAGATTCTGCAAAAAGAGAGATACAAAACTGCTCTATCAAAAGATAGATTCGACTCTGTGAGTTGAATGCCAACATCGCAAAGAAGTTTCTCAGAATGCTTCTCTGCAGCTTTTTTGTGAGTATGTTTCGTTTTCCACCATAGGGCGAAATGGGGCTCCAAATATCCACTTGAATTTCCTACAAAAAGAGAGATTCTAAGCTGCTCAATCAAAACATTGTTTCAACACGGTTAGTTGAATGCACACATCCCAAAGATGTTTTTCAGAGTGCTTCTGTGTGGTTTTTATGTGAAGATACTTCCTTTTCCACAATAGGCCTCAAATCTCTGTAAATATCCACTTGCAGACTCTACAAAGAGTGTTTCCAAACTCCTCAATCATAAGATAGGTTCAACTCCGATAGTTGAATGCACACATCACAAAGAAGTTTCTCGGAAAGCTTCTGTGTAGTTTTTGATGAAGATATCTTCTTCTCTAAAACAGAACTCCAAGCCCTCCAAATATTCACTTCAAGATTCTACGGAAAGATTGTCTCAAACTGCTAAATCAAAACAAAGGTTCAACTCTGTGTGATGAATGCATTCATCACAAAGAAGTTTCTCTGAGTGCTTCTGTGCAGTTTTTATTTGAAGATAATTGCTTTTCCAGTATAGGGCGAAATAGGGCTCCAAATATTCACTTGCAGATTCTACAGAAAGAGAGATTCCAAACTGCTCAATCAAAACATAGGTTCAACACTGTGAGTTGAATGCATACATCGCAAAGAAGTTTCACAGAGTACTTCTGGGTGGTTTTTATTTGAAGATATTTCCCTTTCCACAATAGGCCTCAAAGCTTTCCAAATGTCCACTTGCAGATTCCACCAAAAGAGTGTTTCGAAACTGCTCAATCAAAAGAAAGGTTCTACTCTGTGGGATGAATGCACACATCACAAAGTAGTTTCTCAGAATGCTTCTGTGTAGTTTTTATGTGAAGATATTTGTTTTTCCACAGTAGGCCCCAAAGAGCTCCAAATATTCACTTGCAGATTCTACAAAAAGAGTGTTCCAAAACTGCTCAATCATGAAATAGGATCAACCCTGTGAGACGAATGTACGTATGACAGAGAAGTTTCTCAGAATGCTTCTGTGTAGTTTTTATGCGAAGATATTCGATTTTCCACAGTACGCCTCAAAGTTCTCCAATTATCCACTCGTAGATCCTGCAAAAAGAGAGATTCAAAACTGCTCAATCAAAAGATAGTTTCTACTCCATTAGCTGAAAGACCACATCACAAAAAAAGTTTCTCAGGATGCTTCTGTGTAGTTTTTATGTGAAGATATTTGGTTTTCCACAGTAGGCCTCAAAGCGCTCCAAATATCCACTCACAGATTCTGCAAAAAGAGAGATTCAAAACTGCTGAATCAAAAGACAGTTTCAACTCTGTGACTTCAGTGCACACCTCACAAGGATGTTTCTCAGAATGCTTCTGTGTAGTTTTCATATAAAGATATCTCCTTCTCCAAAATGGATCTCAAAGTTCTCCAAATATTCACTTCCAGATTCTATGGAAAGATTGTCTCAAAACTGCTCAATCAAACCAAAGGTTCAACTCTGTGAGATGAATGCCCACATCACAAAGAAGTTTCTCAGAGTACTTCTGTGTAGTTTCTATTTGAGGATAGTTCCTTTTCCACCACAGACCAGAAAGGGCTCCAAATATCCATTGCAGATGGTACAAAAAGTGAGATTCAAAACTGCTCAATCCAAAGGTAGTTTCAACCATGTGATATGAATGCACACAGCACAGAGAATTTTCTCAAAATGCGTCTGTCTAGTTTTTATTTGAAGATATTTCCTTTTCTACCATAGGCCACAAACGTCTCCAAATATCCACATGCAGCTTCTACAAAAAGAGAGATTCAAAACTTCTCAATCAAAAGATAGGTTCAACTCTGTGAGTTGAAAGCACACCTCACAAAGAAGTTTCTCAGAGTGCTTCTGTGTGTTTTTATGTGAAGATATTTCCTTTTCCACAATAGGCCTCAAAGCTCTCCAAATATCTGCGAGCAGAGTCTACAAAATGAGAGATTCAAAACTGCTCAATGAAAAGATAGGTTCAACTCTGTGAGTTGAATGCACACCTCCAAAGAAGTTTCTCAGAATGCTTCCGTGTAGTTTTTATGTGAAGATATTTACTTTTCCACAGTTGTCCCAAAGCTCTAAAATATCCACTTGCAGACCCTCCAAAAGAGTGTTTCAGAATTGCTCAATCAAAGGGAAGGTTCAATTCTGTGTGACCAATGCACTCATCACAAAGAAGTTTGTCTGAATGCTTCTGTGTAGAATTGATTTGAAGATAATTCCTTTTCCACCACAGTCCGCAAAGGGCTAAAAATATCCACTTGCCGATTCCACAAAAAGAGAGATTCAAAACTGCTCAATCACAAGATAGGTTCAACTTGGTAATTGGAAAGCACACATGACAAACAATTTCTGAGAATGTTTCTGTGTAGTTTTTAAGGGAAGATATTTGATTTTCAAATGTAGGCCTCAAATCGCTCCAAATATCCACTTGCATATTGTACAAAAAGAGAGATTCAAAACTGGTCACTCCAAAGTTAGGTCCAGCTCTGTGAGCTGAATGCACACATCACAAAGATGTTTCTCAGAAGGTTTCTGTATAGTTTTTATATGAAGATATTTGCTTTTCCACAATATGCCTCAAATCTCCCCAATTATCCACTTGCAGATTCTAGAAAAAGAGTGTTTCAAAACAGCTCAATCAAAATAAACTTTCAACTCTGTGAGATCAATGCACACATCACAAAGAAGTTTCTCAGAATGCTTCTGTGTAGTTTTTTTTGTGAAGATATTTGATTTTCCACAGCAGGCTTCCAAGCACTCCAAATATCCACTCGCAGATTCTGCAAAAAGAGAGATTCAAATCTGCTGAATCAAAAGATAGGTTTAACTCTGTGACTTCAATGCACACCTCACAAGGGTGTTTCTCAGAAAGCTTCTGTGTAGTTTTTATATGAAGATATCTCCTTCTCCAAAGCAGGTCTCAAAGCCCTCCAAATATTCACTTCAAGATTCTACGGAAAGATTGTCTCAACACTGCTAAATCTAAACAAATGTTCAACTCTGTGTGATGAATGCACTCATCACAGAGAAGTTTCTCTGAATGCCTCTGTGTAGTTTTTATTTGAAGATATTTGCTTTTCCAGTATAGGGCGAAATAGGGCTCCAAATATTCACTTGCAGATTCTACAAAAGGAGAGATTCCAAACTGCTCAATCAAAACATAGGTTCAACACTGTGAGTTGAATGCACACATCACAAAGAAGTTTCACAGAGTGCTTCTGGGTAGTTTTTATTTGAGGATATTTCCCTTTCCACAATAGGCCTCAAAGCTTTCCAAATATCCACTTGCAGATTCTGCAAAAAGAGAGATACAAAACTGCTCTATCAAAAGATAGATTCGACTCTGTGAGTTGAATGCCAACATCGCAAAGAAGTTTCTCAGAATGCTTCTCTGCAGCTTTTTTGTGAGTATGTTTCGTTTTCCACCATAGGGCGAAATGGGGCTCCAAATATCCACTTGCATTTCCTACAAAAAGAGAGATTCTAAGCTGCTCAATCAAAACATTGTTTCAACACGGTTAGTTGAATGCACACATCCCAAAGATGTTTTTCAGAGTGCTTCTGTGTGGTTTTTATGTGAAGATACTTCCTTTTCCACAATAGGCCTCAAATCTCTGTAAATATCCACTTGCAGACTCTACAAAGAGTGTTTCCAAACTGCTCAATCATAAGATAGGTTCAACTCCGATAGCTGAATGCACACATCACAAAGAAGTTTCTCGGAAAGCTTCTGTGTAGTTTTTGATGAAGATATCTCCTTCTCTAAAACAGAACCCCAAGCCCTCCAAATATTCACTTCAAGATTCTACGGAAAGATTGTCTCAAACTGCTAAATCAAAACAAAGGTTCAACTCTGTGTGATGAATGCATTCATCACAAAGAAGTTTCTCTGAGTGCTTCTGTGCAGTTTTTATTTGAAGATAATTGCTTTTCCAGTATAGGGCGAAATAGGGCTCCAAATATTCACTTGCAGATTCTACAGAAAGAGAGATTCCAAACTGCTCAATCAAAACATAGGTTCAACACTGTGAGTTGAATGCATACATCGCAAAGAAGTTTCACAGAGTACTTCTGGGTGGTTTTTATTTGAAGATATTTCCCTTTCCACAATAGGCCTCAAAGCTTTCCAAATGTCCACTTGCAGATTCCACCAAAAGAGTGTTTCGAAACTGCTCAATCAAAAGAAAGGTTCTACTCTGTGGGATGAATGCACACATCACAAAGTAGTTTGCTCAGAATGCTTCTGTGTAGTTTTTATGTGAAGATATTGGTTTTTCCACAGTAGGCCCCAATGAGCTCCAAATATTCACTTGCAGATTCTACAAAAAGAGTGTTTCAAAAGTGCTCAATAATAAAATAGGATCAACCCTGTGAATGTACGTATGACAAAGAAGTTTCTCAGAATGCTTCTGTGCAGTTTTTATGGGAAGATATTTGATTTTCCACAGTAGACCTCAAAGTTCTCCAAATATCCACTTGCAGATTCTGCAAAAAGAGAGATTCAAAACTGCTCAATCGAAAGATAGGTTCAACTCTATTAGTTGAAAGACCACATCACAAAGAAGTTTCTCAGAATGCTTCTGTGTAGTTTTTATGTGAAGATATTTGGTTTTCCACAGTAGGCCACAAAGCGCTCCAAATATTCACTCACAGATTCTGCAAAAAGAGAGATTCAAAACTGCTGAATCAAAAGGTAGTTTTAACTCTGTGACTTCAGTGCACACCTCACAAAGATGTTTCTCAGAATGCTTCTGTGTAGTTTTTATATGAAGATATCTCCTTCTCCAAAATAGATCTCAAAGCCCTCCAAATATTCACTTCCAGATCCTATGGAAAGATGGTCTCAAAACTGCTCAAGCAAAACAAAGGTTCAACTCTGTGAGATGAATGCACACATCACGAAGAAGTTTCTCAGAATACTTCTGTGTAGTTTTTATTTGAGGATAGTTCCTTTTCCACCATAGACCACAAAGGGCTCCAAATATCCACTTGCAGATGGTACAAAAAGAGAGATTCAAAGCTGCTCAATCAAAAGATAGGTTCAACTCTGTGGTTGAATGCACACCTCACAAAGAAGTTTCTCAGAATGCTTCTGTCTAGTTTTTTTTGAAGGTATTTCCTTTTCCACCATAGGCCACAAACGTCTCCAAATAGCCACATGCAGCTTCTACAAAAAGAGAGATTCAAAACTGCTCAATCAAAAGATAGGTTCAACTCTGTGGTTGAATGCACACCTCACAAAGAAGTTTCTCAGAATGCTTCTGTGTGTTTTTATGTGAAGATATTTCCTTTTCCACAATAGGCCTCAAAGCTCTCCAAATATCCGCAAGCAGAGTCTACAAAAAGAGAGATTCAAAACTGCTCAATGAAAAGATAGGTTCAACTCTGTGAGTTGAATGCACATCTCACAAAGAAGTTTCTCAGAATGCTTCTGTGTAGTTTTTATGTGAAGATATTTACTTTTCCACAATTGTCCCAAAGCTCTAAAATATCCACTTGCAGACCCTCTAAAAGAGTGTTTCAGAGTTGCTCAATCAAAGGAAAGGATCAACTCTGTGTGACGAATGCACTCATCACAAAGAAGTTTGTCTGAATGCTTCTGTGTAGAATTGATTTCAAGATAATTTCTTTTCCACCACAGTCTACAAAGGACTAAAAATATCCACTTGCAGATTCTACAAAAAGGGAGATTCAAAACTGCTCAATCACAAGATAGGTTCAACTCGGTGATTAGGAAGCACACATGACAAACAATTTCTGAGAATGCTTCTGTGTAGTTTTTAAGGGAAGATATTTGATTTTCAAATGTAGGCCTCAAATCGCTCCAAATATCCACTTGCATATTGTACAAAAAGAGAGATTCAAAACTGGTCACTCAAAAGTTAGGTCCAGCTCTGTGAGCTGAATGCACACATCACAAAGATGTTTCTCAGATGGTTTCTGTATAGTTTCTATATGAAGATATTGGCCTTTCCACAATATGCCTCAAATCTCCCCAATTATCCACTTGCAGATTCTAGAAAAAGAGTGTTTCAAAACAGCTCAATCAAAATAAACTTTCAACTCTGTGAGATCAATGCACACATCACAAAGAAGTTTCTCAGAATGCTTCTGTGTAGTTTTTTTTGTGAAGATATTTGATTTTCCACAGCAGGCTTCCAAGCACTCCAAATATCCACTCGCAGATTCTGCAAAAAGAGAGATTCAAATCTGCTGAATCAAAAGATAGGTTTAACTCTGTGACTTCAATGCACACCTCACAAGGGTGTTTCTCAGAAAGCTTCTGTGTAGTTTTTATATGAAGATATCTCCTTTTCCAAAGCAGGTCTCAAAGCCCTCCAAATATTCACTTCAAGATTCTACGGAAAGATTGTCTCAACACTGCTAAATCTAAACAAATGTTCAACTCTGTGTGATGAATGCACTCATCACAGAGTAGTTTCTCTGAATGCCTCTGTGTAGTTTTTATTTGAAGATATTTGCTTTTCCAGTATAGGGCGAAATAGGGCTCCAAATATTCACTTGCAGATTCTACAAAAGGAGAGATTCCAAACTGCTCAATCAAAACATAGGTTCAACACTGTGAGTTGAATGCACACATCACAAAGAAGTTTCACAGAGTGCTTCTGGGTAGTTTTTATTTGAGGATATTTCCCTTTCCACAATAGGCCTCAAAGCTTTCCAAATATCCACTTGCAGATTCTGCAAAAAGAGGGATACAAAACTGCTCTATCAAAAGATAGATTCGACTCTGTGAGTTGAATGCCAACATCGCAAAG
This sequence comes from Homo sapiens, assembly GCF_000001405.40. NCBI lineage: Eukaryota > Metazoa > Chordata > Mammalia > Primates > Hominidae > Homo > Homo sapiens. The sequence continues at coordinate 17,743,729 of NC_000015.10, read as the reverse complement.
AAGTTTCTCAGAATGCTTCTCTGCAGCTTTTTTGTGAGTATGTTTCGTTTTCCACCATAGGGCGAAATGGGGCTCCAAATATCCACTTGCATTTCCTACAAAAAGAGAGATTCTAAGCTGCTCAATCAAAACATTGTTTCAACACGGTTAGTTGAATGCACACATCCCAAAGATGTTTTTCAGAGTGCTTCTGTGTGGTTTTTATGTGAAGATACTTCCTTTTCCACAATAGGCCTCAAATCTCTTTAAATATCCACTTGCAGACTCTACAAAGAGTGTTTCCAAACTCCTCAATCATAAGATAGGTTCAACTCCGATAGTTGAATGCACACATCACAAAGAAGTTTCTCGGAAAGCTTCTGTGTAGTTTTTGATGAAGATATCTTCTTCTCTAAAACAGAACTCCAAGCCCTCCAAATATTCACTTCAAGATTCTACGGAAAGATTGTCTCAAACTGCTAAATCAAAACAAAGGTTCAACTCTGTGTGATGAATGCATTCATCACAAAGAAGTTTCTCTGAGTGCTTCTGTGCAGTTTTTATTTGAAGATAATTGCTTTTCCAGTATAGGGCGAAATAGGGCTCCAAATATTCACTTGCAGATTCTACAGAAAGAGAGATTCCAAACTGCTCAATCAAAACATAGGTTCAACACTGTGAGTTGAATGCATACATCGCAAAGAAGTTTCACAGAGTACTTCTGGGTGGTTTTTATTTGAAGATATTTCCCTTTCCACAATAGGCCTCAAAGCTTTCCAAATGTCCACTTGCAGATTCCACCAAAAGAGTGTTTCGAAACTGCTCAATCAAAAGAAAGGTTCTACTCTGTGGGATGAATGCACACATCACAAAGTAGTTTCTCAGAATGCTTCTGTGTAGTTTTTATGTGAAGATATTTGTTTTTCCACAGTAGGCCCCAAGGAGCTCCAAATATTCACTTGCAGATTCTACAAAAAGAGTGTTCCGAAACTGCTCAATCATGAAATAGGATCAACCCTGTGAGATGAATGTACGTATGACAGAGAAGTTTCTCAGAATGCTTCTGTGTAGTTTTTATGCGAAGATATTCGACTTTCCACAGTACGCCTCAAAGTTCTCCAATTATCCACTCGTAGATTCTGCAAAAAGAGAGATTCAAAACTGCTCAATCAAAAGATAGTTTCTACTCCATTAGCTGAAAGACCACATCACAAAAAAAGTTTCTCAGGATGCTTCTGTGTAGTTTTTATGTGAAGATATTTGGTTTTCCACAGTAGGCCTCAAAGCGCTCCAAATATCCACTCACAGATTCTGCAAAAAGAGAGATTCAAAACTGCTGAATCAAAAGACAGTTTCAACTCTGTGACTTCAGTGCACACCTCACAAGGATGTTTCTCAGAATGCTTCTGTGTAGTTTTCATATAAAGGTATCTCCTTCTCCAAAATGGATCTCAAAGTTCTCCAAATATTCACTTCCAGATTCTATGGAAAGATTGTCTCAAAACTGCTCAATCAAACCAAAGGTTCAACTCTGTGAGATGAATGCCCACATCACAAAGAAGTTTCTCAGAGTACTTCTGTGTAGTTTCTATTTGAGGATAGTTCCTTTTCCACCACAGACCAGAAAGGGCTCCAAATATCCATTGCAGATGGTACAAAAAGTGAGATTCAAAACTGCTCAATCCAAAGGTAGTTTCAACCATGTGATATGAATGCACACAGCACAGAGAATTTTCTCAAAATGCGTCTGTCTAGTTTTTATTTGAAGATATTTCCTTTTCTACCATAGGCCACAAACGTCTCCAAATATCCACATGCAGCTTCTACAAAAAGAGAGATTCAAAACTTCTCAATCAAAAGATAGGTTCAACTCTGTGAGTTGAAAGCACACCTCACAAAGAAGTTTCTCAGAGTGCTTCTGTGTGTTTTTATGTGAAGATATTTCCTTTTCCACAATTGGCCTCAAAGCTCTCCAAATATCTGCGAGCAGAGTCTACAAAATGAGAGATTCAAAACTGCTCAATGAAAAGATAGGTTCAACTCTGTGAGTTGAATGCACACCTCCAAAGAAGTTTCTCAGAATGCTTCCGTGTAGTTTTTATGTGAAGATATTTACTTTTCCACAGTTGTCCCAAAGCTCTAAAATATCCACTTGCAGACCCTCCAAAAGAGTGTTTCAGAATTGCTCAATCAAAGGGAAGGTTCAATTCCTGTGTGACCAATGCACTCATCACAAAGAAGTTTGTCTGAATGCTTTCTGTGTAGAATTGATTTGAAGATAATTCCTTTTCCACCACAGTCCGCAAAGGGCTAAAAATATCCACTTGCCGATTCCACAAAAAGAGAGATTCAAAACTGCTCAATCACAAGATAGGTTCAACTTGGTAATTGGAAAGCACACATGACAAACAATTTCTGAGAATGTTTCTGTGTAGTTTTTAAGGGAAGATATTTGATTTTCAAATGTAGGCCTCAAATCGCTCCAAATATCCACTTGCATATTGTACAAAAAGAGAGATTCAAAACTGGTCACTCAAAAGTTAGGTCCAGCTCTGTGAGCTGAATGCACACATCACAAAGATGTTTCTCAGAAGGTTTCTGTATAGTTTCTATATGAAGATATTTGCTTTTCCACAATATGCCTCAAATCTCCCCAATTATCCACTTGCAGATTCTAGAAAAAGAGTGTTTCAAAACAGCTCAATCAAAATAAACTTTCAACTCTGTGAGATCAATGCACACATCACAAAGAAGTTTCTCAGAATGCTTCTGTGTAGTTTTTTTTGTGAAGATATTTGATTTTCCACAGCAGGCTTCCAAGCACTCCAAATATCCACTCGCAGATTCTGCAAAAAGAGAGATTCAAATCTGCTGAATCAAAAGATAGGTTTAACTCTGTGACTTCAATGCACACCTCACAAGGGTGTTTCTCAGAAAGCTTCTGTGTAGTTTTTATATGAAGATATCTCCTTCTCCAAAGCAGGTCTCAAAGCCCTCCAAATATTCACTTCAAGATTCTACGGAAAGATTGTCTCAACACTGCTAAATCTAAACAAATGTTCAACTCTGTGTGATGAATGCACTCATCACAGAGAAGTTTCTCTGAATGCCTCTGTGTAGTTTTTATTTGAAGATATTTGCTTTTCCAGTATAGGGCGAAATAGGGCTCCAAATATTCACTTGCAGATTCTACAAAAGGAGAGATTCCAAACTGCTCAATCAAAACATAGGTTCAACACTGTGAGTTGAATGCACACATCACAAAGAAGTTTCACAGAGTGCTTCTGGGTAGTTTTTATTTGAGGATATTTCCCTTTCCACAATAGGCCTCAAAGCTTTCCAAATATCCACTTGCAGATTCTGCAAAAAGAGAGATACAAAACTGCTCTATCAAAAGATAGATTCGACTCTGTGAGTTGAATGCCAACATCGCAAAGAAGTTTCTCAGAATGCTTCTCTGCAGCTTTTTTGTGAGTATGTTTCGTTTTCCACCATAGGGCGAAATGGGGCTCCAAATATCCACTTGCATTTCCTACAAAAAGAGAGATTCTAAGCTGCTCAATCAAAACATTGTTTCAACACGGTTAGTTGAATGCACACATCCCAAAGATGTTTTTCAGAGTGCTTCTGTGTGGTTTTTATGTGAAGATACTTCCTTTTCCACAATAGGCCTCAAATCTCTGTAAATATCCACTTGCAGACTCTACAAAGAGTGTTTCCAAACTCCTCAATCATAAGATAGGTTCAACTCCGATAGTTGAATGCACACATCACAAAGAAGTTTCTCAGAAAGCTTCTGTGTAGTTTTTGATGAAGATATCTCCTTCTCTAAAACAGAACTCCAAGCCCTCCAAATATTCACTTCAAGATTCTACGGAAAGATTGTCTCAAAACTCCTAAATCAAAACAAAGTTTCAACTCTGTGTCATGAATGCATTCATCTCAAAGAAGTTTCTCTGAATGCTTCTGTGCAGTTTTTATTTGAAGATAATTGCTTTTCCAGTATAGGGCGAAATAGGGCTCCAAATATTCACTTGCAGATTCTACAGAAAGAGAGATTCCAAACTGCTCAATCAAAACATAGGTTCAACACTGTGAGTTGAATGCATACATCGCAAAGAAGTTTCACAGAGTACTTCTGGGTGGTTTTTATTTGAAGATATTTCCCTTTCCACAATAGGCCTCAAAGCTTTCCAAATGTCCACTTGCAGATTCCACCAAAAGCGTGTTTCGAAACTGCTCAATCAAAAGAAAGGTTCTACTCTGTGGGATGAATGCACACATCACAAAGTAGTTTCTCAGAATGCTTCTGTGTAGTTTTTATGTGAAGATATTTGTTTTTCCACAGTAGGCCCCAAAGAGCTCCAAATATTCACTTGCAGATTCTACAAAAAGAGTGTTCCAAAACTGCTCAATCATGAAATAGGATCAACCCTGTGAGATGAATGTACGTATGACAGAGAAGTTTCTCAGAATGCTTCTGTGTAGTTTTTATGCGAAGATATTCGATTTTCCACAGTACGCCTCAAAGTTCTCCAATTATCCACTCGTAGATTCTGCAAAAAGAGAGATTCAAAACTGCTCAATCAAAAGATAGTTTCTACTCCATTAGCTGAAAGACCACATCACAAAAAAAGTTTCTCAGGATGCTTCTGTGTAGTTTTTATGTGAAGATATTTGGTTTTCCACAGTAGGCCTCAAAGCGCTCCAAATATCCACTCACAGATTCTGCAAAAAGAGAGATTCAAAACTGCTGAATCAAAAGACAGTTTCAACTCTGTGACTTCAGTGCACAGCTCACAAGGATGTTTCTCAGAATGCTTCTGTGTAGTTTTTATATAAAGATATCTCCTTCTCCAAAATGGATCTCAAAGTTCTCCAAATATTCACTTCCAGATTCTATGGAAAGATTGTCTCAAAACTGCTCAATCAAACCAAAGGTTCAACTCTGTGAGATGAATGCCCACATCACAAAGAAGTTTCTCAGAGTACTTCTGTGTAGTTTCTATTTGAGGATAGTTCCTTTTCCACCACAGACCAGAAAGGGCTCCAAATATCCATTGCAGATGGTACAAAAAGTGAGATTCAAAACTGCTCAATCCAAAGGTAGTTTCAACCATGTGATATGAATGCACACAGCACAGAGAATTTTCTCAAAATGCGTCTGTCTAGTTTTTATTTGAAGATATTTCCTTTTCTACCATAGGCCACAAACGTCTCCAAATATCCACATGCAGCTTCTACAAAAAGAGAGATTCAAAACTTCTCAATCAAAAGATAGGTTCAACTCTGTGAGTTGAAAGCACACCTCACAAAGAAGTTTCTCAGAGTGCTTCTGTGTGTTTTTATGTGAAGATATTTCCTTTTCCACAATAGGCCTCAAAGCTCTCCAAATATCTGCGAGCAGAGTCTACAAAATGAGAGATTCAAAACTGCTCAATGAAAAGATAGGTTCAACTCTGTGAGTTGAATGCACACCTCCAAAGAAGTTTCTCAGAATGCTTCCGTGTAGTTTTTATGTGAAGATATTTACTTTTCCACAGTTGTCCCAAAGCTCTAAAATGTCCACTTGCAGACCCTCCAAAAGAGTGTTTCAGAATTGCTCAATCAAAGGGCAGGTTCAATTCTGTGTGACCAATGCACTCATCACAAAGAAGTTTGTCTGAATGCTTCTGTGTAGAATTGATTTGAAGATAATTCCTTTTCCACCACAGTCCGCAAAGGGCTAAAAATATCCACTTGCCGATTCCACAAAAAGAGAGATTCAAAACTGCTCAATCACAAGATAGGTTCAACTTGGTAATTGGAAAGCACACATGACAAACAATTTCTGAGAATGTTTCTGTGTAGTTTTTAAGGGAAGATATTTGATTTTCAAATGTAGGCCTCAAATCGCTCCAAATATCCACTTGCATATTGTACAAAAAGAGAGATTCAAAACTGGTCACTCAAAAGTTAGGTCCAGCTCTGTGAGCTGAATGCACACATCACAAAGATGTTTCTCAGAAGGTTTCTGTATAGTTTCTATATGAAGATATTTGCTTTTCCACAATATGCCTCAAATCTCCCCAATTATCCACTTGCAGATTCTAGAAAAAGAGTGTTTCAAAACAGCTCAATCAAAATAAACTTTCAACTCTGTGAGATCAATGCACACATCACAAAGAAGTTTCTCAGAATGCTTCTGTGTAGTTTTTTTTGTGAAGATATTTGATTTTCCACAGCAGGCTTCCAAGCACTCCAAATATCCACTCGCAGATTCTGCAAAAAGAGAGATTCAAATCTGCTGAATCAAAAGATAGGTTTAACTCTGTGACTTCAATGCACACCTCACAAGGGTGTTTCTCAGAAAGCTTCTGTGTAGTTTTTATATGAAGATATCTCCTTCTCCAAAGCAGGTCTCAAAGCCCTCCAAATATTCACTTCAAGATTCTACGGAAAGATTGTCTCAACACTGCTAAATCTAAACAAATGTTCAACTCTGTGTGATGAATGCACTCATCACAGAGAAGTTTCTCTGAATGCCTCTGTGTAGTTTTTATTTGAAGATATTTGCTTTTCCAGTATAGGGCGAAATAGGGCTCCAAATATTCACTTGCAGATTCTACAAAAGGAGAGATTCCAAACTGCTCAATCAAAACATAGGTTCAACACTGTGAGTTGAATGCACACATCACAAAGAAGTTTCACAGAGTGCTTCTGGGTAGTTTTTATTTGAGGATATTTCCCTTTCCACAATAGGCCTCAAAGCTTTCCAAATATCCACTTGCAGATTCTGCAAAAAGAGAGATACAAAACTGCTCTATCAAAAGATAGATTCGACTCTGTGAGTTGAATGCCAACATCGCAAAGAAGTTTCTCAGAATGCTTCTCTGCAGCTTTTTTGTGAGTATGTTTCGTTTTCCACCATAGGGCGAAATGGGGCTCCAAATATCCACTTGCATTTCCTACAAAAAGAGAGATTCTAAGCTGCTCAATCAAAACATTGTTTCAACACGGTTAGTTGAATGCACACATCCCAAAGATGTTTTTCAGAGTGCTTCTGTGTGGTTTTTATGTGAAGATACTTCCTTTTCCACAATAGGCCTCAAATCTCTGTAAATATCCACTTGCAGACTCTACAAAGAGTGTTTCCAAACTCCTCAATCATAAGATAGGTTCAACTCCGATAGTTGAATGCACACATCACAAAGAAGTTTCTCAGAAAGCTTCTGTGTAGTTTTTGATGAAGATATCTCCTTCTCTAAAACAGAACTCCAAGCCCTCCAAATATTCACTTCAAGATTCTACGGAAAGATTGTCTCAAAACTCCTAAATCAAAACAAAGTTTCAACTCTGTGTCATGAATGCATTCATCTCAAAGAACTTTCTCTGAATGCTTCTGTGCAGTTTTTATTTGAAGATAATTGCTTTTCCAGTATAGGGCGAAATAGGGCTCCAAATATTCACTTGCAGATTCTACAGAAAGAGAGATTCCAAACTGCTCAATCAAAACATAGGTTCAACACTGTGAGTTGAATGCATACATCGCAAAGAAGTTTCACAGAGTACTTCTGGGTGGTTTTTATTTGAAGATATTTCCCTTTCCACAATAGGCCTCAAAGCTTTCCAAATGTCCACTTGCAGATTCCACCAAAAGAGTGTTTCGAAACTGCTCAATCAAAAGAAAGGTTCTACTCTGTGGGATGAATGCACACATCACAAAGTAGTTTCTCAGAATGCTTCTGTGTAGTTTTTATGTGAAGATATTTGTTTTTCCACAGTAGGCCCCAAATATTCACTTGCAGATTCTACAAAAAGAGTGTTCCAAAACTGCTCAATCATGAAATAGGATCAACCCTGTGAGATGAATGTACGTATGACAGAGAAGTTTCTCAGAATTCTTCTGTGTAGTTTTTATGCGAAGATATTCGACTTTCCACAGTACGCCTCAAAGTTCTCCAATTATCCACTCGTAGATCCCGCAAAAAGAGAGATTCAAAACTGCTCAATCAAAAGATAGTTTCTACTCCATTAGCTGAAAGACCACATCACAAAAAAAGTTTCTCAGGATGCTTCTGTGTAGTTTTTATGTGAAGATATTTGGTTTTCCACAGTAGGCCTCAAAGCGCTCCAAATATCCACTCACAGATTCTGCAAAAAGAGAGATTCAAAACTGCTGAATCAAAAGACAGTTTCAACTCTGTGACTTCAGTGCACACCTCACAAGGATGTTTCTCAGAATGCTTCTGTGGAGTTTTTATATAAAGATATCTCCTTCTCCAAAATGGATCTCAAAGTTCTCCAGATATTCACTTCCAGATTCTATGGAAAGATTGTCTCAAAACTGCTCAATCAAACCAAAGGTTCAACTCTGTGAGATGAATGCCCACATCACAAAGAAGTTTCTCAGAGTACTTCTGTGTAGTTTCTATTTGAGGATAGTTCCTTTTCCACCACAGACCAGAAAGGGCTCCAAATATCCATTGCAGATGGTACAAAAAGTGAGATTCAAAACTGCTCAATCCAAAGGTAGTTTCAACCATGTGATATGAATGCACACAGCACAGAGAATTTTCTCAAAATGCGTCTGTCTAGTTTTTATTTGAAGATATTTCCTTTTCTACCATAGGCCACAAACGTCTCCAAATATCCACATGCAGCTTCTACAAAAAGAGAGATTCAAAACTTCTCAATCAAAAGATAGGTTCAACTCTGTGAGTTGAAAGCACACCTCACAGAGAAGTTTCTCAGAGTGCTTCTGTGTGTTTTTATGTGAAGATATTTCCTTTTCCACAATAGGCCTCAAAGCTCTCCAAATATCTGCGAGCAGAGTCTACAAAATGAGAGATTCAAAACTGCTCAATGAAAAGATAGGTTCAACTCTGTGAGTTGAATGCACACCTCCAAAGAAGTTTCTCAGAATGCTTCCCGTGTAGTTTTTATGTGAAGATATTTACTTTTCCACAGTTGTCCCAAAGCTCTAAAATGTCCACTTGCAGACCCTCCAAAAGAGTGTTTCAGAATTGCTCAATCAAAGGGAAGGTTCAATTCTGTGTGACCAATGCACTCATCACAAAGAAGTTTGTCTGAATGCTTCTGTGTAGAATTGATTTGAAGATAATTCCTTTTCCACCACAGTCCGCAAAGGGCTAAAAATATCCACTTGCCGATTCCACAAAAAGAGAGATTCAAAACTGCTCAATCACAAGATAGGTTCAACTTGGTAATTGGAAAGCACACATGACAAACAATTTCTGAGAATGTTTCTGTGTAGTTTTTAAGGGAAGATATTTGATTTTCAAATGTAGGCCTCAAATCGCTCCAAATATCCACTTGCATATTGTACAAAAAGAGAGATTCAAAACTGGTCACTCAAAAGTTAGGTCCAGCTCTGTGAGCTGAATGCACACATCACAAAGATGTTTCTCAGAAGGTTTCTGTATAGTTTCTATATGAAGATATTTGCTTTTCCACAATATGCCTCAAATCTCCCCAATTATCCACTTGCAGATTCTAGAAAAAGAGTGTTTCAAAACAGCTCAATCAAAATAAACTTTCAACTCTGTGAGATCAATGCACACATCACAAAGGAGGTTTCTCAGAATGCTTCTGTGTAGTTTTTTTTGTGAAGATATTTGATTTTCCACAGCAGGCTTCCAAGCACTCCAAATATCCACTCGCAGATTCTGCAAAAAGAGAGATTCAAATCTGCTGAATCAAAAGATAGGTTTAACTCTGTGACTTCAATGCACACCTCACAAGGGTGTTTCTCAGAAAGCTTCTGTGTAGTTTTTATATGAAGATATCTCCTTCTCCAAAGCAGGTCTCAAAGCCCTCCAAATATTCACTTCAAGATTCTACGGAAAGATTGTCTCAACACTGCTAAATCTAAACAAATGTTCAACTCTGTGTGATGAATGCACTCATCACAGAGAAGTTTCTCTGAATGCCTCTGTGTAGTTTTTATTTGAAGATATTTGCTTTTCCAGTATAGGGCGAAATAGGGCTCCAAATATTCACTTGCAGATTCTACAAAAGGAGAGATTCCAAACTGCTCAATCAAAACATAGGTTCAACACTGTGAGTTGAATGCACACATCACAAAGAAGTTTCACAGAGTGCTTCTGGGTAGTTTTTATTTGAGGATATTTCCCTTTCCACAATAGGCCTCAAAGCTTTCCAAATATCCACTTGCAGATTCTGCAAAAAGAGAGATACAAAACTGCTCTATCAAAAGATAGATTCGACTACTGTGAGTTGAATGCCAACATCGCAAAGAAGTTTCTCAGAATGCTTCTCTGCAGCTTTTTTGTGAGTATGTTTCGTTTTCCACCATAGGGCGAAATGGGGCTCCAAATATCCACTTGCATTTCCTACAAAAAGAGAGATTCTAAGCTGCTCAATCAAAACATTGTTTCAACACGGTTAGTTGAATGCACACATCCCAAAGATGTTTTTCAGAGTGCTTCTGTGTGGTTTTTATGTGAAGATACTTCCTTTTCCACAATAGGCCTCAAATCTCTGTAAATATCCACTTGCAGACTCTACAAAGAGTGTTTCCAAACTGCTCAATCATAAGATAGGTTCAACTCCGATAGTTGAATGCACACATCACAAAGAAGTTTCTCAGAAAGCTTTCTGTGTAGTTTTTGATGAAGATATCTCCTTCTCTAAAACAGAACTCCAAGCCCTCCAAATATTCACTTCAAGATTCTACGGAAAGATTGTCTCAAAACTCCTAAATCAAAACAAAGTTTCAACTCTGTGTCATGAATGCATTCATCTCAAAGAAGTTTCTCTGAATGCTTCTGTGCAGTTTTTATTTGAAGATAATTGCTTTTCCAGTATAGGGCGAAATAGGGCTCCAAATATTCACTTGCAGATTCTACAGAAAGAGAGATTCCAAACTGCTCAATCAAAACGTAGGTTCAACACTGTGAGTTGAATGCATACATCGCAAAGAAGTTTCACAGAGTACTTCTGGGTGGTTTTTATTTGAAGATATTTCCCTTTCCACAATAGGCCTCAAAGCTTTCCAAATGTCCACTTGCAGATTCCACCAAAAGAGTGTTTCGAAACTGCTCAATCAAAAGAAAGGTTCTACTCTGTGGGATGAATGCACACATCACAAAGTAGTTTCTCAGAATGCTTCTGTGTAGTTTTTATGTGAAGATATTTGTTTTTCCACAGTAGGCCCCAAGGAGCTCCAAATATTCACTTGCAGATTCTACAAAAAGAGTGTTCCAAAACTGCTCAATCATGAAATAGGATCAACCCTGTGAGATGAATGTACGTATGACAGAGAAGTTTCTCAGAATGCTTCTGTGTAGTTTTTATGCGAAGATATTCGATTTTCCACAGTACGCCTCAAAGTTCTCCAATTATCCACTCGTAGATTCTGCAAAAAGAGAGATTCAAAACTGCTCAATCAAAAGATAGTTTCTACTCCATTAGCTGAAAGACCACATCACAAAAAAAGTTTCTCAGGATGCTTCTGTGTAGTTTTTATGTGAAGATATTTGGTTTTCCACAGTAGGCCTCAAAGCGCTCCAAATATCCACTCACAGATTCTGCAAAAAGAGAGATTCAAAACTGCTGAATCAAAAGACAGTTTCAACTCTGTGACTTCAGTGCACACCTCACAAGGATGTTTCTCAGAATGCTTCTGTGTAGTTTTTATATAAAGATATCTCCTTCTGCAAAATGGATCTCAAAGTTCTCCAAATATTCACTTCCAGATTCTATGGAAAGATTGTCTCAAAACTGCTCAATCAAACCAAAGGTTCAACTCTGTGAGATGAATGCCCACATCACAAAGAAGTTTCTCAGAGTACTTCTGTGTAGTTTCTATTTGAGGATAGTTCCTTTTCCACCACAGACCAGAAAGGGCTCCAAATATCCATTGCAGATGGTACAAAAAGTGAGATTCAAAACTGCTCAATCCAAAGGTAGTTTCAACCATGTGATATGAATGCACACAGCACAGAGAATTTTCTCAAAATGCGTCTGTCTAGTTTTTATTTGAAGATATTTCCTTTTCTACCATAGGCCACAAACGTCTCCAAATATCCACATGCAGCTTCTACAAAAAGAGAGATTCAAAACTTCTCAATCAAAAGATAGGTTCAACTCTGTGAGTTGAAAGCACACCTCACAAAGAAGTTTCTCAGAGTGCTTCTGTGTGTTTTTATGTGAAGATATTTCCTTTTCCACAATAGGCCTCAAAGCTCTCCAAATATCTGCGAGCAGAGTCTACAAAATGAGAGATTCAAAACTGCTCAATGAAAAGATAGGTTCAACTCTGTGAGTTGAATGCACACCTCCAAAGAAGTTTCTCAGAATGCTTCCGTGTAGTTTTTATGTGAAGATATTTACTTTTCCACAGTTGTCCCAAAGCTCTAAAATGTCCACTTGCAGACCCTCCAAAAGAGTGTTTCAGAATTGCTCAATCAAAGGGAAGGTTCAATTCTGTGTGACCAATGCACTCATCACAAAGAAGTTTGTCTGAATGCTTCTGTGTAGAATTGATTTGAAGATAATTCCTTTTCCACCGCAGTCCGCAAAGGGCTAAAAATATCCACTTGCCGATTCCACAAAAAGAGAGATTCAAAACTGCTCAATCACAAGATAGGTTCAACTTGGTAATTGGAAAGCACACATGACAAACAATTTCTGAGAATGTTTCTGTGTAGTTTTTAAGGGAAGATATTTGATTTTCAAATGTAGGCCTCAAATCGCTCCAAATATCCACTTGCATATTGTACAAAAAGAGAGATTCAAAACTGGTCACTCAAAAGTTAGGTCCAGCTCTGTGAGCTGAATGCACACATCACAAAGATGTTTCTCAGAAGGTTTCTGTATAGTTTCTATATGAAGATATTGGCTTTTCCACAATATGCCTCAAATCTCCCCAATTATCCACTTGCAGATTCTAGAAAAAGAGTGTTTCAAAACAGCTCAATCAAAATAAACTTTCAACTCTGTGAGATCAATGCACACATCACAAAGAAGTTTCTCAGAATGCTTCTGTGTAGTTTTTTTTGTGAAGATATTTGATTTTCCACAGCAGGCTTCCAAGCACTCCAAATATCCACTCGCAGATTCTGCAAAAAGAGAGATTCAAATCTGCTGAATCAAAAGATAGGTTTAACTCTGTGACTTCAATGCACACCTCACAAGGGTGTTTCTCAGAAAGCTTCTGTGTAGTTTTTATATGAAGATATCTCCTTCTCCAAAGCAGGTCTCAAAGCCCTCCAAATATTCACTTCAAGATTCTACGGAAAGATTGTCTCAACACTGCTAAATCTAAACAAATGTTCAACTCTGTGTGATGAATGCACTCATCACAGAGAAGTTTCTCTGAATGCCTCTGTGTAGTTTTTATTTGAAGATATTTGCTTTTCCAGTATAGGGCGAAATAGGGCTCCAAATATTCACTTGCAGATTCTACAAAAGGAGAGATTCCAAACTGCTCAATCAAAACATAGGTTCAACACTGTGAGTTGAATGCACACATCACAAAGAAGTTTCACAGAGTGCTTCTGGGTAGTTTTTATTTGAGGATATTTCCCTTTCCACAATAGGCCTCAAAGCTTTCCAAATATCCACTTGCAGATTCTGCAAAAAGAGAGATACAAAACTGCTCTATCAAAAGATAGATTCGACTCTGTGAGTTGAATGCCAACATCGCAAAGAAGTTTCTCAGAATGCTTCTCTGCAGCTTTTTTGTGAGTATGTTTCGTTTTCCACCATAGGGCGAAATGGGGCTCCAAATATCCACTTGCATTTCCTACAAAAAGAGAGATTCTAAGCTGCTCAATCAAAACATTGTTTCAACACGGTTAGTTGAATGCACACATCCCAAAGATGTTTTTCAGAGTGCTTCTGTGTGGTTTTTATGTGAAGATACTTCCTTTTCCACAATAGGCCTCAAATCTCTGTAAATATCCACTTGCAGACTCTACAAAGAGTGTTTCCAAACTGCTCAATCATAAGATAGGTTCAACTCCGATAGTTGAATGCACACATCACAAAGAAGTTTCTCAGAAAGCTTCTGTGTAGTTTTTGATGAAGATATCTTCTTCTCTAAAACAGAACTCCAAGCCCTCCAAATATTCACTTCAAGATTCTACGGAAAGATTGTCTCAAACTGCTAAATCAAAACAAAGGTTCAACTCTGTGTGATGAATGCATTCATCACAAAGAAGCTTCTCTGAGTGCTTCTGTGCAGTTTTTATTTGAAGATAATTGCTTTTCCAGTATAGGGCGAAATAGGGCTCCAAATATTCACTTGCAGATTCTACAGAAAGAGAGATTCCAAACTGCTCAATCAAAACATAGGTTCAACACTGTGAGTTGAATGCATACATCGCAAAGAAGTTTCACAGAGTACTTCTGGGTGGTTTTTATTTGAAGATATTTCCCTTTCCACAATAGGCCTCAAAGCTTTCCAAATGTCCACTTGCAGATTCCACCAAAAGAGTGTTTCGAAACTGCTCAATCAAAAGAAAGGTTCTACTCTGTGGGATGAATGCACACATCACAAAGTAGTTTCTCAGAATGCTTCTGTGTAGTTTTTATGTGAAGATATTTGTTTTTCCACAGTAGGCCCCAAAGAGCTCCAAATATTCACTTGCAGATTCTACAAAAAGAGTGTTCCAAAACTGCTCAATCATGAAATAGGATCAACCCTGTGAGATGAATGTACGTATGACAGAGAAGTTTCTCAGAATGCTTCTGTGTAGTTTTTATGCGAAGATATTCGATTTTCCACAGTACGCCTCAAAGTTCTCCAATTATCCACTCGTAGATTCTGCAAAAAGAGAGACTCAAAACTGCTCAATCAAAAGATAGTTTCTACTCCATTAGCTGAAAGACCACATCACAAAAAAAGTTTCTCAGGATGCTTCTGTGTAGTTTTTATGTGAAGATATTTGGTTTTCCACAGTAGGCCTCAAAGCGCTCCAAATATCCACTCACAGATTCTGCAAAAAGAGAGATTCAAAACTGCTGAATCAAAAGACAGTTTCAACTCTGTGACTTCAGTGCACACCTCACAAGGATGTTTCTCAGAATGCTTCTGTGTAGTTTTTATATAAAGATATCTCCTTCTCCAAAATGGATCTCAAAGTTCTCCAAATATTCACTTCCAGATTCTATGGAAAGATTGTCTCAAAACTGCTCAATCAAACCAAAGGTTCAACTCTGTGAGATGAATGCCCACATCACAAAGAAGTTTCTCAGAGTACTTCTGTGTAGTTTCTATTTGAGGATAGTTCCTTTTCCACCACAGACCAGAAAGGGCTCCAAATATCCATTGCAGATGGTACAAAAAGTGAGATTCAAAACTGCTCAATCCAAAGGTAGTTTCAACCATGTGATATGAATGCACACAGCACAGAGAATTTTCTCAAAATGCGTCTGTCTAGTTTTTATTTGAAGATATTTCCTTTTCTACCATAGGCCACAAACGTCTCCAAATATCCACATGCAGCTTCTACAAAAAGAGAGATTCAAAACTTCTCAATCAAAAGATAGGTTCAACTCTGTGAGTTGAAAGCACACCTCACAAAGAAGTTTCTCAGAGTGCTTCTGTGTGTTTTTATGTGAAGATATTTCCTTTTCCACAATAGGCCTCAAAGCTCTCCAAATATCTGCGAGCAGAGTCTACAAAATGAGAGATTCAAAACTGCTCAATGAAAAGATAGGTTCAACTCTGTGAGTTGAATGCACACCTCCAAAGAAGTTTCTCAGAATGCTTCCGTGTAGTTTTTATGTGAAGATATTTACTTTTCCACAGTTGTCCCAAAGCTCTAAAATATCCACTTGCAGACCCTCCAAAAGAGTGTTTCAGAATTGCTCAATCAAAGGGAAGGTTCAATTTTGTGTGACCAATGCACTCATCACAAAGAAGTTTGTCTGAATGCTTCTGTGTAGAATTGATTTGAAGATAATTCCTTTTCCACCACAGTCCGCAAAGGGCTAAAAATATCCACTTGCCGATTCCACAAAAAGAGAGATTCAAAACTGCTCAATCACAAGATAGGTTCAACTTGGTAATTGGAAAGCACACATGACAAACAATTTCTGAGAATGTTTCTGTGTAGTTTTTAAGGGAAGATATTTGATTTTCAAATGTAGGCCTCAAATCGCTCCAAATATCCACTTGCATATTGTACAAAAAGAGAGATTCAAAACTGGTCACTCAAAAGTTAGGTCCAGCTCTGTGAGCTGAATGCACACATCACAAAGATGTTTCTCAGAAGGTTTCTGTATAGTTTCTATATGAAGATATTTGCTTTTCCACAATATGCCTCAAATCTCCCCAATTATCCACTTGCAGATTCTAGAAAAAGAGTGTTTCAAAACAGCTCAATCAAAATAAACTTTCAACTCTGTGAGATCAATGCACACATCACAAAGGAGTTTCTCAGAATGCTTCTGTGTAGTTTTTTTTGTGAAGATATTTGATTTTCCACAGCAGGCTTCCAAGCACTCCAAATATCCACTCGCAGATTCTGCAAAAAGAGAGATTCAAATCTGCTGAATCAAAAGATAGGTTTAACTCTGTGACTTCAATGCACACCTCACAAGGGTGTTTCTCAGAAAGCTTCTGTGTAGTTTTTATATGAAGATATCTCCTTCTCCAAAGCAGGTCTCAAAGCCCTCCAAATATTCACTTCAAGATTCTACGGAAAGATTGTCTCAACACTGCTAAATCTAAACAAATGTTCAACTCTGTGTGATGAATGCACTCATCACAGAGAAGTTTCTCTGAATGCCTCTGTGTAGTTTTTATTTGAAGATATTTGCTTTTCCAGTATAGGGCGAAATAGGGCTCCAAATATTCACTTGCAGATTCTACAAAAGGAGAGATTCCAAACTGCTCAATCAAAACATAGGTTCAACACTGTGAGTTGAATGCACACATCACAAAGAAGTTTCACAGAGTGCTTCTGGGTAGTTTTTATTTGAGGATATTTCCCTTTCCACAATAGGCCTCAAAGCTTTCCAAATATCCACTTGCAGATTCTGCAAAAAGAGAGATACAAAACTGCTCTATCAAAAGATAGATTCGACTCTGTGAGTTGAATGCCAACATCGCAAAGAAGTTTCTCAGAATGCTTCTCTGCAGCTTTTTTGTGAGTATGTTTCGTTTTCCACCATAGGGCGAAATGGGGCTCCAAATATCCACTTGCATTTCCTACAAAAAGAGAGATTCTAAGCTGCTCAATCAAAACATTGTTTCAACACGGTTAGTTGAATGCACACATCCCAAAGATGTTTTTCAGAGTGCTTCTGTGTGGTTTTTATGTGAAGATACTTCCTTTTCCACAATAGGCCTCAAATCTCTGTAAATATCCACTTGCAGACTCTACAAAGAGTGTTTCCAAACTGCTCAATCATAAGATAGGTTCAACTCCGATAGTTGAATGCACACATCACAAAGAAGTTTCTCGGAAAGCTTCTGTGTAGTTTTTGATGAAGATATCTTCTTCTCTAAAACAGAACTCCAAGCCCTCCAAATATTCACTTCAAGATTCTACGGAAAGATTGTCTCAAACTGCTAAATCAAAACAAAGGTTCAACTCTGTGTGATGAATGCATTCATCACAAAGAAGTTTCTCTGAGTGCTTCTGTGCAGTTTTTATTTGAAGATAATTGCTTTTCCAGTATAGGGCGAAATAGGGCTCCAAATATTCACTTGCAGATTCTACAGAAAGAGAGATTCCAAACTGCTCAATCAAAACATAGGTTCAACACTGTGAGTTGAATGCATACATCGCAAAGAAGTTTCACAGAGTACTTCTGGGTGGTTTTTATTTGAAGATATTTCCCTTTCCACAATAGGCCTCAAAGCTTTCCAAATGTCCACTTGCAGATTCCACCAAAAGAGTGTTTCGAAACTGCTCAATCAAAAGAAAGGTTCTACTCTGTGGGATGAATGCACACATCACAAAGTAGTTTCTCAGAATGCTTCTGTGTAGTTTTTATGTGAAGATATTTGTTTTTCCACAGTAGGCCCCAAAGAGCTCCAAATATTCACTTGCAGATTCTACAAAAAGAGTGTTCCAAAACTGCTCAATCATGAAATAGGATCAACCCTGTGAGATGAATGTACGTATGACAGAGAAGTTTCTCAGAATGCTTCTGTGTAGTTTTTATGCGAAGATATTCGATTTTCCACAGTACGCCTCAAAGTTCTCCAATTATCCACTCGTAGATTCTGCAAAAAGAGAGATTCAAAACTGCTCAATCAAAAGATAGTTTCTACTCCATTAGCTGAAAGACCACATCACAAAAAAAGTTTCTCAGATGCTTCTGTGTAGTTTTTATGTGAAGATATTTGGTTTTCCACAGTAGGCCTCAAAGCGCTCCAAATATCCACTCACAGATTCTGCAAAAAGAGAGATTCAAAACTGCTGAATCAAAAGACAGTTTCAACTCTGTGACTTCAGTGCACACCTCAAAAGGATGTTTCTCAGAATGCTTCTGTGTAGTTTTCATATAAAGATATCTCCTTCTCCAAAATGGATCTCAAAGTTCTCCAAATATTCACTTCCAGATTCTATGGAAAGATTGTCTCAAAACTGCTCAATCAAACCAAAGGTTCAACTCTGTGAGATGAATGCCCACATCACAAAGAAGTTTCTCAGAGTACTTCTGTGTAGTTTCTATTTGAGGATAGTTCCTTTTCCACCACAGACCAGAAAGGGCTCCATATATCCATTGCAGATGGTACAAAAAGTGAGATTCAAAACTGCTCAATCCAAAGGTAGTTTCAACCATGTGATATGAATGCACACAGCACAGAGAATTTTCTCAAAATGCGTCTGTCTAGTTTTTATTTGAAGATATTTCCTTTTCTACCATAGGCCACAAACGTCTCCAAATATCCACATGCAGCTTCTACAAAAAGAGAGATTCAAAACTTCTCAATCAAAAGATAGGTTCAACTCTGTGAGTTGAAAGCACACCTCACAAAGAAGTTTCTCAGAGTGCTTCTGTGTGTTTTTATGTGAAGATATTTCCTTTTCCACAATAGGCCTCAAAGCTCTCCAAATATCTGCGAGCAGAGTCTACAAAATGAGAGATTCAAAACTGCTCAATGAAAAGATAGGTTCAACTCTGTGAGTTGAATGCACACCTCCAAAGAAGTTTCTCAGAATGCTTCCGTGTAGTTTTTATGTGAAGATATTTACTTTTCCACAGTTGTCCCAAAGCTCTAAAATATCCACTTGCAGACCCTCCAAAAGAGTGTTTCAGAATTGCTCAATCAAAGGGAAGGTTCAATTCTGTGTGACCAATGCACTCATCACAAAGAAGTTTGTCTGAATGCTTCTGTGTAGAATTGATTTGAAGATAATTCCTTTTCCACCACAGTCCGCAAAGGGCTAAAAATATCCACTTGCCGATTCCACAAAAAGAGAGATTCAAAACTGCTCAATCACAAGATAGGTTCAACTTGGTAATTGGAAAGCACACATGACAAACAATTTCTGAGAATGTTTCTGTGTAGTTTTTAAGGGAAGATATTTGATTTTCAAATGTAGGCCTCAAATCGCTCCAAATATCCACTTGCATATTGTACAAAAAGAGAGATTCAAAACTGGTCACTCAAAAGTTAGGTCCAGCTCTGTGAGCTGAATGCACACATCACAAAGATGTTTCTCAGAAGGTTTCTGTATAGTTTCTATATGAAGATATTTGCTTTTCCACAATATGCCTCAAATCTCCCCAATTATCCACTTGCAGATTCTAGAAAAAGAGTGTTTCAAAACAGCTCAATCAAAATAAACTTTCAACTCTGTGAGATCAATGCACACATCACAAAGGAGTTTCTCAGAATGCTTCTGTGTAGTTTTTTTTGTGAAGATATTTGATTTTCCACAGCAGGCTTCCAAGCACTCCAAATATCCACTCGCAGATTCTGCAAAAAGAGAGATTCAAATCTGCTGAATCAAAAGATAGGTTTAACTCTGTGACTTCAATGCACACCTCACAAGGGTGTTTCTCAGAAAGCTTCTGTGTAGTTTTTATATGAAGATATCTCCTTCTCCAAAGCAGGTCTCAAAGCCCTCCAAATATTCACTTCAAGATTCTACGGAAAGATTGTCTCAACACTGCTAAATCTAAACAAATGTTCAACTCTGTGTGATGAATGCACTCATCACAGAGAAGTTTCTCTGAATGCCTCTGTGTAGTTTTTATTTGAAGATATTTGCTTTTCCAGTATAGGGCGAAATAGGGCTCCAAATATTCACTTGCAGATTCTACAAAAGGAGAGATTCCAAACTGCTCAATCAAAACATAGGTTCAACACTGTGAGTTGAATGCACACATCACAAAGAAGTTTCACAGAGTGCTTCTGGGTAGTTTTTATTTGAGGATATTTCCCTTTCCACAATAGGCCTCAAAGCTTTCCAAATATCCACTTGCAGATTCTGCAAAAAGAGAGATACAAAACTGCTCTATCAAAAGATAGATTCGACTCTGTGAGTTGAATGCCAACATCGCAAAGAAGTTTCTCAGAATGCTTCTCTGCAGCTTTTTTGTGAGTATGTTTCGTTTTCCACCATAGGGCGAAATGGGGCTCCAAATATCCACTTGAATTTCCTACAAAAAGAGAGATTCTAAGCTGCTCAATCAAAACATTGTTTCAACACGGTTAGTTGAATGCACACATCCCAAAGATGTTTTTCAGAGTGCTTCTGTGTGGTTTTTATGTGAAGATACTTCCTTTTCCACAATAGGCCTCAAATCTCTGTAAATATCCACTTGCAGACTCTACAAAGAGTGTTTCCAAACTGCTCAATCATAAGATAGGTTCAACTCCGATAGTTGAATGCACACATCACAAAGAAGTTTCTCAGAAAGCTTCTGTGTAGTTTTTGATGAAGATATCTCCTTCTCTAAAACAGAACTCCAAGCCCTCCAAAAATATTCACTTCAAGATTCTACGGAAAGATTGTCTCAAAACTCCTAAATCAAAACAAAGTTTCAACTCTGTGTCATGAATGCATTCATCTCAAAGAAGTTTCTCTGAATGCTTCTGTGCAGTTTTTATTTGAAGATAATTGCTTTTCCAGTATAGGGCGAAATAGGGCTCCAAATATTCACTTGCAGATTCTACAGAAAGAGAGATTCCAAACTGCTCAATCAAAACATACGTTCAACACTGTGAGTTGAATGCATACATCGCAAAGAAGTTTCACAGAGTACTTCTGGGTGGTTTTTATTTGAAGATATTTCCCTTTCCACAATAGGCCTCAAAGCTTTCCAAATGTCCACTTGCAGATTCCACCAAAAGAGTGTTTCGAAACTGCTCAATCAAAAGAAAGGTTCTACTCTGTGGGATGAATGCACACATCACAAAGTAGTTTCTCAGAATGCTTCTGTGTAGTTTTTATGTGAAGATATTTGTTTTTCCACAGTAGGCCCCAAGGAGCTCCAAATATTCACTTGCAGATTCTACAAAAAGAGTGTTCCAAAACTGCTCAATCATGAAATAGGATCAACCCTGTGAGATGAATGTACGTATGACAGAGAAGTTTCTCAGAATGCTTCTGTGTAGTTTTTATGCGAAGATATTCGATTTTCCACAGTACGCCTCAAAGTTCTCCAATTATCCACTCGTAGATTCTGCAAAAAGAGAGATTCAAAACTGCTCAATCAAAAGATAGTTTCTACTCCATTAGCTGAAAGACCACATCACAAAAAAAGTTTCTCAGGATGCTTCTGTGTAGTTTTTATGTGAA
Source organism: Homo sapiens (assembly GCF_000001405.40). Lineage (NCBI taxonomy): Eukaryota > Metazoa > Chordata > Mammalia > Primates > Hominidae > Homo > Homo sapiens. The sequence goes on along the minus strand of NC_000015.10, from coordinate 17,722,010 downwards.
GATATTTGGTTTTCCACAGTAGGCCTCAAAGCGCTCCAAATATCCACTCACAGATTCTGCAAAAAGAGAGATTCAAAACTGCTGAATCAAAAGACAGTTTCAACTCTGTGACTTCAGTGCACACCTCACAAGGATGTTTCTCAGCATGCTTCTGTGTAGTTTTTATATAAAGATATCTCCTTCTCCAAAATGGATCTCAAAGTTCTCCAAATATTCACTTCCAGATTCTATGGAAAGATTGTCTCAAAACTGCTCAATCAAACCAAAGGTTCAACTCTGTGAGATGAGTGCACACATCACAAAGAAGTTTCTCAGAGTACTTCTGTGTAGTTTCTATTTGAGGATAGTTCCTTTTCCACCACAGACCAGAAAGGGCTCCAAATATCCATTGCAGATGGTACAAAAAGTGAGATTCAAAACTGCTCAATCCAAAGGTAGTTTCAACCATGTGATATGAATGCACACAGCACAGAGAATTTTCCCAAAATGCGTCTGTCTAGTTTTTATTTGAAGATATTTCCTTTTCTACCATAGGCCACAAACGTCTCCAAATATCCACATGCAGCTTCTACAAAAAGAGAGATTCAAAACTTCTCAATCAAAAGATAGGTTCAACTCTGTGAGTTGAAAGCACACCTCACAAAGAAGTTTCTCAGAGTGCTTCTGTGTGTTTTTATGTGAAGATATTTCCTTTTCCACAATAGGCCTCAAAGCTCTCCAAATATCTGCGAGCAGAGTCTACAAAATGAGAGATTCAAAACTGCTCAATGAAAAGATAGGTTCAACTCTGTGAGTTGAATGCACACCTCCAAAGAAGTTTCTCAGAATGCTTCCGTGTAGTTTTTATGTGAAGATATTTACTTTTCCACAGTTGTCCCAAAGCTCTAAAATGTCCACTTGCAGACCCTCCAAAAGAGTGTTTCAGAATTGCTCAATCAAAGGGAAGGTTCAATTCTGTGTGACCAATGCACTCATCACAAAGAAGTTTGTCTGAATGCTTCTGTGTAGAATTGATTTGAAGATAATTCCTTTTCCACCACAGTCCGCAAAGGGCTAAAAATATCCACTTGCCGATTCCACAAAAAGAGAGATTCAAAACTGCTCAATCACAAGATAGGTTCAACTTGGTAATTGGAAAGCACACATGACAAACAATTTCTGAGAATGTTTCTGTGTAGTTTTTAAGGGAAGATATTTGATTTTCAAATGTAGGCCTCAAATCGCTCCAAATATCCACTTGCATATTGTACAAAAAGAGAGATTCAAAACTGGTCACTCAAAAGTTAGGTCCAGCTCTGTGAGCTGAATGCACACATCACAAAGATGTTTCTCAGAAGGTTTCTGTATAGTTTTTATATGAAGATATATGCTTTTCCACAATATGCCTCAAATCTCCCCAATTATCCACTTGCAGATTCTAGAAAAAGAGTGTTTCAAAACAGCTCAATCAAAATAAACTTTCAACTCTGTGAGATCAATGCACACATCACAAAGAAGTTTCTCAGAATGCTTCTGTGTAGTTTTTTTTGTGAAGATATTTGATTTTCCACAGCAGGCTTCCAAGCACTCCAAATATCCACTCGCAGATTCTGCAAAAAGAGAGATTCAAATCTGCTGAATCAAAAGATAGGTTTAACTCTGTGACTTCAATGCACACCTCACAAGGGTGTTTCTCAGAAAGCTTCTGTGTAGTTTTTATATGAAGATATCTCCTTCTCCAAAGCAGGTCTCAAAGCCCTCCAAATATTCACTTCAAGATTCTACGGAAAGATTGTCTCAACACTGCTAAATCTAAACAAATGTTCAACTCTGTGTGATGAATGCACTCATCACAGAGAAGTTTCTCTGAATGCCTCTGTGTAGTTTTTATTTGAAGATATTTGCTTTTCCAGTATAGGGCGAAATAGGGCTCCAAATATTCACTTGCAGATTCTACAAAAGGAGAGATTCCAAACTGCTCAATCAAAACATAGGTTCAACACTGTGAGTTGAATGCACACATCACAAAGAAGTTTCACAGAGTGCTTCTGGGTAGTTTTTATTTGAGGATATTTCCCTTTCCACAATAGGCCTCAAAGCTTTCCAAATATCCACTTGCAGATTCTGCAAAAAGAGAGATACAAAACTGCTCTATCAAAAGATAGATTCGACTCTGTGAGTTGAATGCCAACATCGCAAAGAAGTTTCTCAGAATGCTTCTCTGCAGCTTTTTTGTGAGTATGTTTCGTTTTCCACCATAGGGCGAAATGGGGCTCCAAATATCCACTTGCATTTCCTACAAAAAGAGAGATTCTAAGCTGCTCAATCAAAACATTGTTTCAACACGGTTAGTTGAATGCACACATCCCAAAGATGTTTTTCAGAGTGCTTCTGTGTGGTTTTTATGTGAAGATACTTCCTTTTCCACAATAGGCCTCAAATCTCTGTAAATATCCACTTGCAGACTCTACAAAGAGTGTTTCCAAACTGCTCAATCATAAGATAGGTTCAACTCCGATAGTTGAATGCACACATCACAAAGAAGTTTCTCAGAAAGCTTCTGTGTAGTTTTTGATGAAGATATCTTCTTCTCTAAAACAGAACTCCAAGCCCTCCAAATATTCACTTCAAGATTCTACGGAAAGATTGTCTCAAACTGCTAAATCAAAACAAAGGTTCAACTCTGTGTGATGAATGCATTCATCACAAAGAAGTTTCTCTGAGTGCTTCTGTGCAGTTTTTATTTGAAGATAATTGCTTTTCCAGTATAGGGCGAAATAGGGCTCCAAATATTCACTTGCAGATTCTACAGAAAGAGAGATTCCAAACTGCTCAATCAAAACATAGGTTCAACACTGTGAGTTGAATGCATACATCGCAAAGAAGTTTCACAGAGTACTTCTGGGTGGTTTTTATTTGAAGATATTTCCCTTTCCACAATAGGCCTCAAAGCTTTCCAAATGTCCACTTGCAGATTCCACCAAAAGAGTGTTTCGAAACTGCTCAATCAAAAGAAAGGTTCTACTGCTGTGGGATGAATGCACACATCACAAAGTAGTTTCTCAGAATGCTTCTGTGTAGTTTTTATGTGAAGATATTTGTTTTTCCACAGTAGGCCCCAAGGAGCTCCAAATATTCACTTGCAGATTCTACAAAAAGAGTGTTCCAAAACTGCTCAATCATGAAATAGGATCAACCCTGTGAGATGAATGTACGTATGACAGAGAAGTTTCTCAGAATGCTTCTGTGTAGTTTTTATGCGAAGATATTCGATTTTCCACAGTACGCCTCAAAGTTCTCCAATTATCCACTCGTAGATTCTGCAAAAAGAGAGATTCAAAACTGCTCAATCAAAAGATAGTTTCTACTCCATTAGCTGAAAGACCACATCACAAAAAAAGTTTCTCAGGATGCTTCTGTGTAGTTTTTATGTGAAGATATTTGGTTTTCCACAGTAGGCCTCAAAGCGCTCCAAATATCCACTCACAGATTCTGCAAAAAGAGAGATTCAAAACTGCTGAATCAAAAGACAGTTTCAACTCTGTGACTTCAGTGCACACCTCACAAGGATGTTTCTCAGCATGCTTCTGTGTAGTTTTTATATAAAGATATCTCCTTCTCCAAAATGGATCTCAAAGTTCCCCAAATATTCACTTCCAGATTCTATGGAAAGATTGTCTCAAAACTGCTCAATCAAACCAAAGGTTCAACTCTGTGAGATGAATGCACACATCACAAAGAAGTTTCTCAGAGTACTTCTGTGTAGTTTCTATTTGAGGATAGTTCCTTTTCCACCACAGACCAGAAAGGGCTCCAAATATCCATTGCAGATGGTACAAAAAGTGAGATTCAAAACTGCTCAATCCAAAGGTAGTTTCAACCATGTGATATGAATGCACACAGCACAGAGAATTTTCTCAAAATGCGTCTGTCTAGTTTTTATTTGAAGATATTTCCTTTTCTACCATAGGCCACAAACGTCTCCAAATATCCACATGCAGCTTCTACAAAAAGAGAGATTCAAAACTTCTCAATCAAAAGATAGGTTCAACTCTGTGAGTTGAAAGCACACCTCACAAAGAAGTTTCTCAGAGTGCTTCTGTGTGTTTTTATGTGAAGATATTTCCTTTTCCACAATAGGCCTCAAAGCTCTCCAAATATCTGCGAGCAGAGTCTACAAAATGAGAGATTCAAAACTGCTCAATGAAAAGATAGGTTCAACTCTGTGAGTTGAATGCACACCTCCAAAGAAGTTTCTCAGAATGCTTCCGTGTAGTTTTTATGTGAAGATATTTACTTTTCCACAGTTGTCCCAAAGCTCTAAAATATCCACTTGCAGACCCTCCAAAAGAGTGTTTCAGAATTGCTCAATCAAAGGGAAGGTTCAATTCTGTGTGACCAATGCACTCATCACAAAGAAGTTTGTCTGAATGCTTCTGTGTAGAATTGATTTGAAGATAATTCCTTTTCCACCACAGTCCGCAAAGGGCTAAAAATATCCACTTGCCGATTCCACAAAAAGAGAGATTCAAAACTGCTCAATCACAAGATAGGTTCAACTTGGTAATTGGAAAGCACACATGACAAAAAATTTCTGAGAATGTTTCTGTGTAGTTTTTAAGGGAAGATATTTGATTTTCAAATGTAGGCCTCAAATCGCTCCAAATATCCACTTGCATATTGTACAAAAAGAGAGATTCAAAACTGGTCACTCAAAAGTTAGGTCCAGCTCTGTGAGCTGAATGCACACATCACAAAGATGTTTCTCAGAAGGTTTCTGTATAGTTTCTATATGAAGATATTGGCTTTTCCACAATATGCCTCAAATCTCCCCAATTATCCACTTGCAGATTCTAGAAAAAGAGTGTTTCAAAACAGCTCAATCAAAATAAACTTTCAACTCTGTGAGATCAATGCACACATCACAAAGAAGTTTCTCAGAATGCTTCTGTGTAGTTTTTTTTGTGAAGATATTTGATTTTCCACAGCAGGCTTCCAAGCACTCCAAATATCCACTCGCAGATTCTGCAAAAAGAGAGATTCAAATCTGCTGAATCAAAAGATAGGTTTAACTCTGTGACTTCAATGCACACCTCACAAGGGTGTTTCTCAGAAAGCTTCTGTGTAGTTTTTATATGAAGATATCTCCTTCTCCAAAGCAGGTCTCAAAGCCCTCCAAATATTCACTTCAAGATTCTACGGAAAGATTGTCTCAACACTGCTAAATCTAAACAAATGTTCAACTCTGTGTGATGAATGCACTCATCACAGAGAAGTTTCTCTGAATGCCTCTGTGTAGTTTTTATTTGAAGATATTTGCTTTTCCAGTATAGGGCGAAATAGGGCTCCAAATATTCACTTGCAGATTCTACAAAAGGAGAGATTCCAAACTGCTCAATCAAAACATAGGTTCAACACTGTGAGTTGAATGCACACATCACAAAGAAGTTTCACAGAGTGCTTCTGGGTAGTTTTTATTTGAGGATATTTCCCTTTCCACAATAGGCCTCAAAGCTTTCCAAATATCCACTTGCAGATTCTGCAAAAAGAGAGATACAAAACTGCTCTATCAAAAGATAGATTCGACTCTGTGAGTTGAATGCCAACATCGCAAAGAAGTTTCTCAGAATGCTTCTCTGCAGCTTTTTTGTGAGTATGTTTCGTTTTCCACCATAGGGCGAAATGGGGCTCCAAATATCCACTTGCATTTCCTACAAAAAGAGAGATTCTAAGCTGCTCAATCAAAACATTGTTTCAACACGGTTAGTTGAATGCACACATCCCAAAGATGTTTTTCAGAGTGCTTCTGTGTGGTTTTTATGTGAAGATACTTCCTTTTCCACAATAGGCCTCAAATCTCTGTAAATATCCACTTGCAGACTCTACAAAGAGTGTTTCCAAACTCCTCAATCATAAGATAGGTTCAACTCCGATAGTTGAATGCACACATCACAAAGAAGTTTCTCAGAAAGCTTCTGTGTAGTTTTTGATGAAGATATCTTCTTCTCTAAAACAGAACTCCAAGCCCTCCAAATATTCACTTCAAGATTCTACGGAAAGATTGTCTCAAACTGCTAAATCAAAACAAATGTTCAACTCTGTGTGATGAATGCATTCATCACAAAGAAGCTTCTCTGAGTGCTTCTGTGCAGTTTTTATTTGAAGATAATTGCTTTTCCAGTATAGGGCGAAATAGGGCTCCAAATATTCACTTGCAGATTCTACAGAAAGAGAGATTCCAAACTGCTCAATCAAAACATAGGTTCAACACTGTGAGTTGAATGCATACATCGCAAAGAAGTTTCACAGAGTACTTCTGGGTGGTTTTTATTTGAAGATATTTCCCTTTCCACAATAGGCCTCAAAGCTTTCCAAATGTCCACTTGCAGATTCCACCAAAAGAGTGTTTCGAAACTGCTCAATCAAAAGAAAGGTTCTACTCTGTGGGATGAATGCACACATCACAAAGTAGTTTCTCAGAATGCTTCTGTGTAGTTTTTATGTGAAGATATTTGTTTTTCCACAGTAGGCCCCAAGGAGCTCCAAATATTCACTTGCAGATTCTACAAAAAGAGTGTTCCGAAACTGCTCAATCATGAAATAGGATCAACCCTGTGAGATGAATGTACGTATGACAGAGAAGTTTCTCAGAATGCTTCTGTGTAGTTTTTATGCGAAGATATTCGACTTTCCACAGTACGCCTCAAAGTTCTCCAATTATCCACTCGTAGATTCTGCAAAAAGAGAGATTCAAAACTGCTCAATCAAAAGATAGTTTCTACTCCATTAGCTGAAAGACCACATCACAAAAAAAGTTTCTCAGGATGCTTCTGTGTAGTTTTTATGTGAAGATATTTGGTTTTCCACAGTAGGCCTCAAAGCGCTCCAAATATCCACTCACAGATTCTGCAAAAAGAGAGATTCAAAACTGCTGAATCAAAAGACAGTTTCAACTCTGTGACTTCAGTGCACACCTCACAAGGATGTTTCTCAGAATGCTTCTGTGTAGTTTTCATATAAAGGTATCTCCTTCTCCAAAATGGATCTCAAAGTTCTCCAAATATTCACTTCCAGATTCTATGGAAAGATTGTCTCAAAACTGCTCAATCAAACCAAAGGTTCAACTCTGTGAGATGAATGCCCACATCACAAAGAAGTTTCTCAGAGTACTTCTGTGTAGTTTCTATTTGAGGATAGTTCCTTTTCCACCACAGACCAGAAAGGGCTCCAAATATCCATTGCAGATGGTACAAAAAGTGAGATTCAAAACTGCTCAATCCAAAGGTAGTTTCAACCATGTGATATGAATGCACACAGCACAGAGAATTTTCTCAAAATGCGTCTGTCTAGTTTTTATTTGAAGATATTTCCTTTTCTACCATAGGCCACAAACGTCTCCAAATATCCACATGCAGCTTCTACAAAAAGAGAGATTCAAAACTTCTCAATCAAAAGATAGGTTCAACTCTGTGAGTTGAAAGCACACCTCACAGAGAAGTTTCTCAGAGTGCTTCTGTGTGTTTTTATGTGAAGATATTTCCTTTTCCACAATAGGCCTCAAAGCTCTCCAAATATCTGCGAGCAGAGTCTACAAAATGAGAGATTCAAAACTGCTCAATGAAAAGATAGGTTCAACTCTGTGAGTTGAATGCACACCTCCAAAGAAGTTTCTCAGAATGCTTCCGTGTAGTTTTTATGTGAAGATATTTACTTTTCCACAGTTGTCCCAAAGCTCTAAAATATCCACTTGCAGACCCTCCAAAAGAGTGTTTCAGAATTGCTCAATCAAAGGGAAGGTTCAATTCCTGTGTGACCAATGCACTCATCACAAAGAAGTTTGTCTGAATGCTTTCTGTGTAGAATTGATTTGAAGATAATTCCTTTTCCACCACAGTCCACAAAGGGCTAAAAATATCCACTTGCCGATTCCACAAAAAGAGAGATTCAAAACTGCTCAATCACAAGATAGGTTCAACTTGGTAATTGGAAAGCACACATGACAAACAATTTCTGAGAATGTTTCTGTGTAGTTTTTAAGGGAAGATATTTGATTTTCAAATGTAGGCCTCAAATCGCTCCAAATATCCACTTGCATATTGTACAAAAAGAGAGATTCAAAACTGGTCACTCAAAAGTTAGGTCCAGCTCTGTGAGCTGAATGCACACATCAAAAAGATGTTTCTCAGAAGGTTTCTGTATAGTTTCTATATGAAGATATTTGCTTTTCCACAATATGCCTCAAATCTCCCCAATTATCCACTTGCAGATTCTAGAAAAAGAGTGTTTCAGAACAGCTCAATCAAAATAAACTTTCAACTCTGTGAGATCAATGCACACATCACAAAGAAGTTTCTCAGAATGCTTCTGTGTAGTTTTTTTTGTGAAGATATTTGATTTTCCACAGCAGGCTTCCAAGCACTCCAAATATCCACTCGCAGATTCTGCAAAAAGAGAGACTCAAATCTGCTGAATCAAAAGATAGGTTTAACTCTGTGACTTCAATGCACACCTCACAATGGTGTTTCTCAGAAAGCTTCTGTGTAGTTTTTATATGAAGATATCTCCTTCTCCAAAGCAGGTCTCAAAGCCCTCCAAATATTCACTTCAAGATTCTACGGAAAGATTGTCTCAACACTGCTAAATCTAAACAAATGTTCAACTCTGTGTGATGAATGCACTCATCACAGAGAAGTTTCTCTGAATGCCTCTGTGTAGTTTTTATTTGAAGATATTTGCTTTTCCAGTATAGGGCGAAATAGGGCTCCAAATATTCACTTGCAGATTCTACAAAAGGAGAGATTCCAAACTGCTCAATCAAAACATAGGTTCAACACTGTGAGTTGAATGCACACATCACAAAGAAGTTTCACAGAGTGCTTCTGGGTAGTTTTTATTTGAGGATATTTCCCTTTCCACAATAGGCCTCAAAGCTTTCCAAATATCCACTTGCAGATTCTGCAAAAAGAGAGATACAAAACTGCTCTATCAAAAGATAGATTCGACTCTGTGAGTTGAATGCCAACATCGCAAAGAAGTTTCTCAGAATGCTTCTCTGCAGCTTTTTTGTGAGTATGTTTCGTTTTCCACCATAGGGCGAAATGGGGCTCCAAATATCCACTTGCATTTCCTACAAAAAGAGAGATTCTAAGCTGCTCAATCAAAACATTGTTTCAACACGGTTAGTTGAATGCACACATCCCAAAGATGTTTTTCAGAGTGCTTCTGTGTGGTTTTTATGTGAAGATACTTCCTTTTCCACAATAGGCCTCAAATCTCTGTAAATATCCACTTGCAGACTCTACAAAGAGTGTTTCCAAACTGCTCAATCATAAGATAGGTTCAACTCCGATAGTTGAATGCACACATCACAAAGAAGTTTCTCAGAAAGCTTCTGTGTAGTTTTTGATGAAGATATCTCCTTCTCTAAAACAGAACTCCAAGCCCTCCAAATATTCACTTCAAGATTCTACGGAAAGATTGTCTCAAACTGCTAAATCAAAACAAAGGTTCAACTCTGTGTGATGAATGCATTCATCACAAAGAAGTTTCTCTGAGTGCTTCTGTGCAGTTTTTATTTGAAGATAATTGCTTTTCCAGTATAGGGCGAAATAGGGCTCCAAATATTCACTTGCAGATTCTACAGAAAGAGAGATTCCAAACTGCTCAATCAAAACATAGGTTCAACACTGTGAGTTGAATGCATACATCGCAAAGAAGTTTCACAGAGTACTTCTGGGTGGTTTTTATTTGAAGATATTTCCCTTTCCACAATAGGCCTCAAAGCTTTCCAAATGTCCACTTGCAGATTCCACCAAAAGAGTGTTTCGAAACTGCTCAATCAAAAGAAAGGTTCTACTCTGTGGGATGAATGCACACATCACAAAGTAGTTTCTCAGAATGCTTCTGTGCAGTTTTTATGTGAAGATAGTTGTTTTTCCACAGTAGGCCCCAAAGAGCTCCAAATATTCACTTGCAGATTCTACAAAAAGAGTGTTCCAAAACTGCTCAATCATGAAATAGGATCAACCCTGTGAGATGAATGTACGTATGACAGAGAAGTTTCTCAGAATGCTTCTGTGTAGTTTTTATGCGAAGATATTCGATTTTCCACAGTACGCCTCAAAGTTCTCCAATTATCCACTCGTAGATTCTGCAAAAAGAGAGATTCAAAACTGCTCAATCAAAAGATAGTTTCTACTCCATTAGCTGAAAGACCACATCACAAAAAAAGTTTCTCAGGATGCTTCTGTGTAGTTTTTATGTGAAGATATTTGGTTTTCCACAGTAGGCCTCAAAGCGCTCCAAATATCCACTCACAGATTCTGCAAAAAGAGAGATTCAAAACTGCTGAATCAAAAGACAGTTTCAACTCTGTGACTTCAGTGCACACCTCACAAGGATGTTTCTCAGAATGCTTCTGTGTAGTTTTCATATAAAGATATCTCCTTCTCCAAAATGGATCTCAAAGTTCTCCAAATATTCACTTCCAGATTCTATGGAAAGATTGTCTCAAAACTGCTCAATCAAACCAAAGGTTCAACTCTGTGAGATGAATGCCCACATCACAAAGAAGTTTCTCAGAGTACTTCTGTGTAGTTTCTATTTGAGGATAGTTCCTTTTCCACCACAGACCAGAAAGGGCTCCAAATATCCATTGCAGATGGTACAAAAAGTGGGATTCAAAACTGCTCAATCCAAAGGTAGTTTCAACCATGTGATATGAATGCACACAGCACAGAGAATTTTCTCAAAATGCGTCTGTCTAGTTTTTATTTGAAGATATTTCCTTTTCTACCATAGGCCACAAACGTCTCCAAATATCCACATGCAGCTTCTACAAAAAGAGAGATTCAAAACTTCTCAATCAAAAGATAGGTTCAACTCTGTGAGTTGAAAGCACACCTCACAAAGAAGTTTCTCAGAGTGCTTCTGTGTGTTTTTATGTGAAGATATTTCCTTTTCCACAATAGGCCTCAAAGCTCTCCAAATATCTGCGAGCAGAGTCTACAAAATGAGAGATTCAAAACTGCTCAATGAAAAGATAGGTTCAACTCTGTGAGTTGAATGCACACCTCCAAAGAAGTTTCTCAGAATGCTTCCGTGTAGTTTTTATGTGAAGATATTTACTTTTCCACAGTTGTCCCAAAGCTCTAAAATATCCACTTGCAGACCCTCCAAAAGAGTGTTTCATAATTGCTCAATCAAAGGGAAGGTTCAATTCTGTGTGACCAATGCACTCATCACAAAGAAGTTTGTCTGAATGCTTCTGTGTAGAATTGATTTGAAGATAATTCCTTTTCCACCACAGTCCGCAAAGGGCTAAAAATATCCACTTGCCGATTCCACAAAAAGAGAGATTCAAAACTGCTCAATCACAAGATAGGTTCAACTTGGTAATTGGAAAGCACACATGACAAACAATTTCTGAGAATGTTTCTGTGTAGTTTTTAAGGGAAGATATTTGATTTTCAAATGTAGGCCTCAAATCGCTCCAAATATCCACTTGCATATTGTACAAAAAGAGAGATTCAAAACTGGTCACTCAAAAGTTAGGTCCAGCTCTGTGAGCTGAATGCACACATCACAAAGATGTTTCTCAGAAGGTTTCTGTATAGTTTCTATATGAAGATATTTGCTTTTCCACAATATGCCTCAAATCTCCCCAATTATCCACTTGCAGATTCTAGAAAAAGAGTGTTTCAAAACAGCTCAATCAAAATAAACTTTCAACTCTGTGAGATCAATGCACACATCACAAAGAAGTTTCTCAGAATGCTTCTGTGTAGTTTTTTTTGTGAAGATATTTGATTTTCCACAGCAGGCTTCCAAGCACTCCAAATATCCACTCGCAGATTCTGCAAAAAGAGAGATTCAAATCTGCTGAATCAAAAGATAGGTTTAACTCTGTGACTTCAATGCACACCTCACAAGGGTGTTTCTCAGAAAGCTTCTGTGTAGTTTTTATATGAAGATATCTCCTTCTCCAAAGCAGGTCTCAAAGCCCTCCAAATATTCACTTCAAGATTCTACGGAAAGATTGTCTCAACACTGCTAAATCTAAACAAATGTTCAACTCTGTGTGATGAATGCACTCATCACAGAGAAGTTTCTCTGAAGGCCTCTGTGTAGTTTTTATTTGAAGATATTTGCTTTTCCAGTATAGGGCGAAATAGGGCTCCAAATATTCACTTGCAGATTCTACAAAAGGAGAGATTCCAAACTGCTCAATCAAAACATAGGTTCAACACTGTGAGTTGAATGCACACATCACAAAGAAGTTTCACAGGGTGCTTCTGGGTAGTTTTTATTTGAGGATATTTCCCTTTCCACAATAGGCCTCAAAGCTTTCCAAATATCCACTTGCAGATTCTGCAAAAAGAGAGATACAAAACTGCTCTATCAAAAGATAGATTCGACTCTGTGAGTTGAATGCCAACATCGCAAAGAAGTTTCTCAGAATGCTTCTCTGCAGCTTTTTTGTGAGTATGTTTCGTTTTCCACCATAGGGCGAAATGGGGCTCCAAATATCCACTTGCATTTCCTACAAAAAGAGAGATTCTAAGCTGCTCAATCAAAACATTGTTTCAACACGGTTAGTTGAATGCACACATCCCAAAGATGTTTTTCAGAGTGCTTCTGTGTGGTTTTTATGTGAAGATACTTCCTTTTCCACAATAGGCCTCAAATCTCTGTAAATATCCACTTGCAGACTCTACAAAGAGTGTTTCCAAACTGCTCAATCATAAGATAGGTTCAACTCCGATAGTTGAATGCACACATCACAAAGAAGTTTCTCGGAAAGCTTCTGTGTAGTTTTTGATGAAGATATCTCCTTCTCTAAAACAGAACTCCAAGCCCTCCAAATATTCACTTCAAGATTCTACGGAAAGATTGTCTCAAACTGCTAAATCAAAACAAAGGTTCAACTCTGTGTGATGAATGCATTCATCACAAAGAAGTTTCTCTGAGTGCTTCTGTGCAGTTTTTATTTGAAGATAATTGCTTTTCCAGTATAGGGCGAAATAGGGCTCCAAATATTCACTTGCAGATTCTACAGAAAGAGAGATTCCAAACTGCTCAATCAAAACATAGGTTCAACACTGTGAGTTGAATGCATACATCGCAAAGAAGTTTCACAGAGTACTTCTGGGTGGTTTTTATTTGAAGATATTTCCCTTTCCACAATAGGCCTCAAAGCTTTCCAAATGTCCACTTGCAGATTCCACCAAAAGAGTGTTTCGAAACTGCTCAATCAAAAGAAAGGTTCTACTCTGTGGGATGAATGCACACATCACAAAGTAGTTTCTCAGAATGCTTCTGTGTAGTTTTTATGTGAAGATATTTGTTTTTCCACAGTAGGCCCCAAAGAGCTCCAAATATTCACTTGCAGATTCTACAAAAAGAGTGTTCCAAAACTGCTCAATCATGAAATAGGATCAACTCTGTGAGATGAATGTACGTATGACAGAGAAGTTTCTCAGAATGCTTCAGTGTAGTTTTTATGCGAAGATATTCGATTTTCCACAGTACGCCTCAAAGTTCTCCAATTATCCACTCGTAGATTCTGCAAAAAGAGAGATTCAAAACTGCTCAATCAAAAGATAGTTTCTACTCCATTAGCTGAAAGACCACATCACAAAAAAAGTTTCTCAGGATGCTTCTGTGTAGTTTTTATGTGAAGATATTTGGTTTTCCACAGTAGGCCTCAAAGCGCTCCAAATATCCACTCACAGATTCTGCAAAAAGAGAGATTCAAAACTGCTGAATCAAAAGACAGTTTCAACTCTGTGACTTCAGTGCACACCTCACAAGGATGTTTCTCAGAATGCTTCTGTGTAGTTTTTATATAAAGATATCTCCTTCTCCAAAATGGATCTCAAAGTTCTCCAAATATTCACTTCCAGATTCTATGGAAAGATTGTCTCAAAACTGCTCAATCAAACCAAAGGTTCAACTCTGTGAGATGAATGCACACATCACAAAGAAGTTTCTCAGAGTACTTCTGTGTAGTTTCTACTTGAGGATAGTTCCTTTTCCACCACAGACCAGAAAGGGCTCCAGATATCCATTGCAGATGGTACAAAAAGTGAGATTCAAAACTGCTCAATCCAAAGGTAGTTTCAACCATGTGATATGAATGCACACAGCACAGAGAATTTTCTCAAAATGCGCCTGTCTAGTTTTTATTTGAAGATATTTCCTTTTCTACCATAGGCCACAAACGTCTCCAAATATCCACATGCAGCTTCTACAAAAAGAGAGATTCAAAACTTCTCAATCAAAAGATAGGTTCAACTCTGTGAGTTGAAAGCACACCTCACAAAGAAGTTTCTCAGAGTGCTTCTGTGTGTTTTTATGTGAAGATATTTCCTTTTCCACAATAGGCCTCAAAGCTCTCCAAATATCTGCGAGCAGAGTCTACAAAATGAGAGATTCAAAACTGCTCAATGAAAAGATAGGTTCAACTCTGTGAGTTGAATGCACACCTCCAAAGAAGTTTCTCAGAATGCTTCCGTGCAGTTTTTATGTGAAGATATTTACTTTTCCACAGTTGTCCCAAAGCTCTAAAATGTCCACTTGCAGACCCTCCAAAAGAGTGTTTCAGAATTGCTCAATCAAAGGGAAGGTTCAATTCTGTGTGACCAATGCACTCATCACAAAGAAGTTTGTCTGAATGCTTCTGTGTAGAATTGATTTGAAGATAATTCCTTTTCCACCACAGTCCGCAAAGGGCTAAAAATATCCACTTGCCGATTCCACAAAAAGAGAGATTCAAAACTGCTCAATCACAAGATAGGTTCAACTTGGTAATTGGAAAGCACACATGACAAACAATTTCTGAGAATGTTTCTGTGTAGTTTTTAAGGGAAGATATTTGATTTTCAAATGTAGGCCTCAAATCGCTCCACTTGCATATTGTACAAAAAGAGAGATTCAAAACTGGTCACTCAAAAGTTAGGTCCAGCTCTGTGAGCTGAATGCACACATCACAAAGATGTTTCTCAGAAGGTTTCTGTATAGTTTCTATATGAAGATATTTGCTTTTCCACAATATGCCTCAAATCTCCCCAATTATCCACTTGCAGATTCTAGAAAAAGAGTGTTTCAAAACAGCTCAATCAAAATAAACTTTCAACTCTGTGAGATCAATGCACACATCACAAAGAAGTTTCTCAGAATGCTTCTGTGTAGTTTTTTTTGTGAAGATATTTGATTTTCCACAGCAGGCTTCCAAGCACTCCAAATATCCACTCGCAGATTCTGCAAAAAGAGAGATTCAAATCTGCTGAATCAAAAGATAGGTTTAACTCTGTGACTTCAATGCACACCTCACAAGGGTGTTTCTCAGAAAGCTTCTGTGTAGTTTTTATATGAAGATATCTCCTTCTCCAAAGCAGGTCTCAAAGCCCTCCAAATATTCACTTCAAGATTCTACGGAAAGATTGTCTCAACACTGCTAAATCTAAACAAATGTTCAACTCTGTGTGATGAATGCACTCATCACAGAGAAGTTTCTCTGAATGCCTCTGTGTAGTTTTTATTTGAAGATATTTGCTTTTCCAGTATAGGGCGAAATAGGGCTCCAAATATTCACTTGCAGATTCTACAAAAGGAGAGATTCCAAACTGCTCAATCAAAACATAGGTTCAACACTGTGAGTTGAATGCACACATCACAAAGAAGTTTCACAGAGTGCTTCTGGGTAGTTTTTATTTGAGGATATTTCCCTTTCCACAATAGGCCTCAAAGCTTTCCAAATATCCACTTGCAGATTCTGCAAAAAGAGAGATACAAAACTGCTCTATCAAAAGATAGATTCGACTCTGTGAGTTGAATGCCAACATCGCAAAGAAGTTTCTCAGAATGCTTCTCTGCAGCTTTTTTGTGAGTATGTTTCGTTTTCCACCATAGGGCGAAATGGGGCTCCAAATATCCACTTGCATTTCCTACAAAAAGAGAGATTCTAAGCTGCTCAATCAAAACATTGTTTCAACACGGTTAGTTGAATGCACACATCCCAAAGATGTTTTTCAGAGTGCTTCTGTGTGGTTTTTATGTGAAGATACTTCCTTTTCCACAATAGGCCTCAAATCTCTGTAAATATCCACTTGCAGACTCTACAAAGAGTGTTTCCAAACTGCTCAATCATAAGATAGGTTCAACTCCGATAGTTGAATGCACACATCACAAAGAAGTTTCTCGGAAAGCTTCTGTGTAGTTTTTGATGAAGATATCTTCTTCTCTAAAACAGAACTCCAAGCCCTCCAAATATTCACTTCAAGATTCTACGGAAAGATTGTCTCAAACTGCTAAATCAAAACAAAGGTTCAACTCTGTGTGATGAATGCATTCATCACAAAGAAGTTTCTCTGAGTGCTTCTGTGCAGTTTTTATTTGAAGATAATTGCTTTTCCAGTATAGGGCGAAATAGGGCTCCAAATATTCACTTGCAGATTCTACAGAAAGAGAGATTCCAAACTGCTCAATCAAAACATAGGTTCAACACTGTGAGTTGAATGCATACATCGCAAAGAAGTTTCACAGAGTACTTCTGGGTGGTTTTTATTTGAAGATATTTCCCTTTCCACAATAGGCCTCAAAGCTTTCCAAATGTCCACTTGCAGATTCCACCAAAAGAGTGTTTCGAAACTGCTCAATCAAAAGAAAGGTTCTACTCTGTGGGATGAATGCACACATCACAAAGTAGTTTCTCAGAATGCTTTCTGTGTAGTTTTTATGTGAAGATATTTGTTTTTCCACAGTAGGCCCCAAGGGAGCTCCAAATATTCACTTGCAGATTCTACAAAAAGAGTGTTCCGAAACTGCTCAATCATGAAATAGGATCAACCCTGTGAGATGAATGTACGTATGACAGAGAAGTTTCTCAGAATGCTTCTGTGTAGTTTTTATGCGAAGATATTCGATTTTCCACAGTACGCCTCAAAGTTCTCCAATTATCCACTCGTAGATTCTGCAAAAAGAGAGATTCAAAACTGCTCAATCAAAAGATAGTTTCTACTCCATTAGCTGAAAGACCACATCACAAAAAAAGTTTCTCAGGATGCTTCTGTGTAGTTTTTATGTGAACATATATTGGTTTTCCACAGTAGGCCTCAAAGCGCTCCAAATATCCGCTCACAGACTCTGCAAAAAGAGAGATTCAAAACTGCTGAATCAAAAGACAGTTTCAACTCTGTGACTTCAGTGCACACCTCACAAGGATGTTTCTCAGAATGCTTCTGTGTAGTTTTTATATAAAGATATCTCCTTCTCCAAAATGGATCTCAAAGTTCTCCAAATATTCACTTCCAGATTCTATGGAAAGATTGTCTCAAAACTGCTCAATCAAACCAAAGGTTCAACTCTGTGAGATGAATGCCCACATCACAAAGAAGTTTCTCAGAGTACTTCTGTGTAGTTTCTATTTGAGGATAGTTCCTTTTCCACCACAGACCAGAAAGGGCTCCAAATATCCATTGCAGATGGTACAAAAAGTGAGATTCAAAACTGCTCAATCCAAAGGTAGTTTCAACCATGTGATATGAATGCACACAGCACAGAGAATTTTCTCAAAATGCGTCTGTCTAGTTTTTATTTGAAGATATTTCCTTTTCTACCATAGGCCACAAACGTCTCCAAATATCCACATGCAGCTTCTACAAAAAGAGAGATTCAAAACTTCTCAATCAAAAGATAGGTTCAACTCTGTGAGTTGAAAGCACACCTCACAAAGAAGTTTCTCAGAGTGCTTCTGTGTGTTTTTATGTGAAGATATTTCCTTTTCCACAATAGGCCTCAAAGCTCTCCAAATATCTGCGAGCAGAGTCTACAAAATGAGAGATTCAAAACTGCTCAATGAAAAGATAGGTTCAACTCTGTGAGTTGAATGCACACCTCCAAAGAAGTTTCTCAGAATGCTTCCGTGTAGTTTTTATGTGAAGATATTTACTTTTCCACAGTTGTCCCAAAGCTCTAAAATGTCCACTTGCAGACCCTCCAAAAGAGTGTTTCAGAATTGCTCAATCAAAGGGAAGGTTCAATTCTGTGTGACCAATGCACTCATCACAAAGAAGTTTGTCTGAATGCTTCTGTGTAGAATTGATTTGAAGATAATTCCTTTTCCACCACAGTCCGCAAAGGGCTAAAAATATCCACTTGCCGATTCCACAAAAAGAGAGATTCAAAACTGCTCAATCACAAGATAGGTTCAACTTGGTAATTGGAAAGCACACATGACAAACAATTTCTGAGAATGTTTCTGTGTAGTTTTTAAGGGAAGATATTTGATTTTCAAATGTAGGCCTCAAATCGCTCCAAATATCCACTTGCATATTGTACAAAAAGAGAGATTCAAAACTGGTCACTCAAAAGTTAGGTCCAGCTCTGTGAGCTGAATGCACACATCACAAAGATGTTTCTCAGAAGGTTTCTGTATAGTTTTTATATGAAGATATTTGCTTTTCCACAATATGCCTCAAATCTCCCCAATTATCCACTTGCAGATTCTAGAAAAAGAGTGTTTCAAAACAGCTCAATCAAAATAAACTTTCAACTCTGTGAGATCAATGCACACATCACAAAGAAGTTTCTCAGAATGCTTCTGTGTAGTTTTTTTTGTGAAGATATTTGATTTTCCACAGCAGGCTTCCAAGCACTCCAAATATCCACTCGCAGATTCTGCAAAAAGAGAGATTCAAATCTGCTGAATCAAAAGATAGGTTTAACTCTGTGACTTCAATGCACACCTCACAAGGGTGTTTCTCAGAAAGCTTCTGTGTAGTTTTTATATGAAGATATCTCCTTCTCCAAAGCAGGTCTCAAAGCCCTCCAAATATTCACTTCAAGATTCTACTGAAAGATTGTCTCAACAATGCTAAATCTAAACAAATGTTCAACTCTGTGTGATGAATGCACTCATCACAGAGAAGTTTCTCTGAATGCCTCTGTGTAGTTTTTATTTGAAGATATTTGCTTTTCCAGTATAGGGCGAAATAGGGCTCCAAATATTCACTTGCAGATTCTACAAAAGGAGAGATTCCAAACTGCTCAATCAAAACATAGGTTCAACACTGTGAGTTGAATGCACACATCACAAAGAAGTTTCACAGAGTGCTTCTGGGTAGTTTTTATTTGAGGATATTTCCCTTTCCACAATAGGCCTCAAAGCTTTCCAAATATCCACTTGCAGATTCTGCAAAAAGAGAGATACAAAACTGCTCTATCAAAAGATAGATTCGACTCTGTGAGTTGAATGCCAACATCGCAAAGAAGTTTCTCAGAATGCTTCTCTGCAGCTTTTTTGTGAGTATGTTTCGTTTTCCACCATAGGGCGAAATGGGGCTCCAAATATCCACTTGCATTTCCTACAAAAAGAGAGATTCTAAGCTGCTCAATCAAAACATTGTTTCAACACGGTTAGTTGAATGCACACATCCCAAAGATGTTTCTCAGAGTGCTTCTGTGTGATTTTTATGTGAAGATACTTCCTTTTCCACAATAGGCCTCAAATCTCTGTAAATATCCACTTGCAGACTCTACAAAGAGTGTTTCCAAACTGCTCAATCATAAGATAGGTTCAACTCCAATAGTTGAATGCACACATCACAAAGAAGTTTCTCAGAAAGCTTCTGTGTAGTTTTTGATGAAGATATCTTCTTCTCTAAAACAGAACTCCAAGCCCTCCAAATATTCACTTCAAGATTCTACGGAAAGATTGTCTCAAAACTCCTAAATCAAAACAAAGTTTCAACTCTGTGTCATGAATGCATTCATCTCAAAGAAGTTTCTCTGAATGCTTCTGTGCAGTTTTTATTTGAAGATAATTGCTTTTCCAGTATAGGGCGAAATAGGGCTCCAAATATTCACTTGCAGATTCTACAGAAAGAGAGATTCCAAACTGCTCAATCAAAACATAGGTTCAACACTGTGAGTTGAATGCATACATCGCAAAGAAGTTTCACAGAGTACTTCTGGGTGGTTTTTATTTGAAGATATTTCCCTTTCCACAATAGGCCTCAAAGCTTTCCAAATGTCCACTTGCAGATTCCACCAAAAGAGTGTTTCGAAACTGCTCAATCAAAAGAAAGGTTCTACTCTGTGGGATGAATGCACACATCACAAAGTAGTTTCCCAGAATGCTTCTGTGTAGTTTTTATGTGAAGATATTTGTTTTTCCACAGTAGGCCCCAAAGAGCTCCAAATATTCACTTGCAGATTCTACAAAAAGAGTGTTCCAAAACTGCTCAATCATGAAATAGGATCAACCCTGTGAGATGAATGTACGTATGACAGAGAAGTTTCTCAGAATGCTTCTGTGTAGTTTTTATGCGAAGATATTCGATTTTCCACAGTACGCCTCAAAGTTCTCCAATTATCCACTCGTAGATCCTGCAAAAAGAGAGATTCAAAACTGCTCAATCAAAAGATAGTTTCTACTCCATTAGCTGAAAGACCACATCACAAAAAAAGTTTCTCAGGATGCTTCTGTGTAGTTTTTATGTGAAGATATTTGGTTTTCCACAGTAGGCCTCAAAGCGCTCCAAATATCCACTCACAGATTCTGCAAAAAGAGAGATTCAAAACTGCTGAATCAAAAGACAGTTTCAACTCTGTGACTTCAGTGCACACCTCACAAGGATGTTTCTCAGAATGCTTCTGTGTAGTTTTCATATAAAGATATCTCCTTCTCCAAAATGGATCTCAAAGTTCTCCAAATATTCACTTCCAGATTCTATGGAAAGATTGTCTCAAAACTGCTCAATCAAACCAAAGGTTCAACTCTGTGAGATGAATGCCCACATCACAAAGAAGTTTCTCAGAGTGCTTCTGTGTAGTTTCTATTTGAGGATAGTTCCTTTTCCACCACAGACCAGAAAGGGCTCCAAATATCCATTGCAGATGGTACAAAAAGTGAGATTCAAAACTGCTCAATCCAAAGGTAGTTTCAACCATGTGATATGAATGCACACAGCACAGAGAATTTTCTCAAAATGCGTCTGTCTAGTTTTTATTTGAAGATATTTCCTTTTCTACCATAGGCCACAAACGTCTCCAAATATCCACATGCAGCTTCTACAAAAAGAGAGATTCAAAACTTCTCAATCAAAAGATAGGTTCAACTCTGTGAGTTGAAAGCACACCTCACAAAGAAGTTTCTCAGAGTGCTTCTGTGTGTTTTTATGTGAAGATATTTCCTTTTCCACAATAGGCCTCAAAGCTCTCCAAATATCTGCGAGCAGAGTCTACAAAATGAGAGATTCAAAACTGCTCAATGAAAAGATAGGTTCAACTCTGTGAGTTGAATGCACACCTCCAAAGAAGTTTCTCAGAATGCTTCCGTGCAGTTTTTATGTGAAGATATTTACTTTTCCACAGTTGTCCCAAAGCTCTAAAATGTCCACTTGCAGACCCTCCAAAAGAGTGTTTCAGAATTGCTCAATCAAAGGGAAGGTTCAATTCTGTGTGACCAATGCACTCATCACAAAGAAGTTTGTCTGAATGCTTCCTGTGTAGAATTGATTTGAAGATAATTCCTTTTCCACCACAGTCCGCAAAGGGCTAAAAATATCCACTTGCCGATTCCACAAAAAGAGAGATTCAAAACTGCTCAATCACAAGATAGGTTCAACTTGGTAATTGGAAAGCACACATGACAAACAATTTCTGAGAATGTTTCTGTGTAGTTTTTAAGGGAAGATATTTGATTTTCAAATGTAGGCCTCAAATCGCTCCAAATATCCACTTGCATATTGTACAAAAAGAGAGATTCAAAACTGGTCACTCAAAAGTTAGGTCCAGCTCTGTGAGCTGAATGCACACATCACAAAGATGTTTCTCAGAAGGTTTCTGTATAGTTTCTATATGAAGATATTTGCTTTTCCACAATATGCCTCAAATCTCCCCAATTATCCACTTGCAGATTCTAGAAAAAGAGTGTTTCAAAACAGCTCAATCCAAATAAACTTTCAACTCTGTGAGATCAATGCACACATCACAAAGAAGTTTCTCAGAATGCTTCTGTGTAGTTTTTTTTGTGAAGATATTTGATTTTCCACAGCAGGCTTCCAAGCACTCCAAATATCCACTCGCAGATTCTGCAAAAAGAGAGATTCAAATCTGCTGAATCAAAAGATAGGTTTAACTCTGTGACTTCAATGCACACCTCACAAGGGTGTTTCTCAGAAAGCTTCTGTGTAGTTTTTATATGAAGATATCTCCTTCTCCAAAGCAGGTCTCAAAGCCCTCCAAATATTCACTTCAAGATTCTACGGAAAGATTGTCTCAACACTGCTAAATCTAAACAAATGTTCAACTCTGTGTGATGAATGCACTCATCACAGAGAAGTTTCTCTGAATGCCTCTGTGTAGTTTTTATTTGAAGATATTTGCTTTTCCAGTATGGGGCGAAATAGGGCTCCAAATATTCACTTGCAGATTCTACAAAAAGAAAGATTCCAAACTGCTCAATCAAAATATAGGTTCAACATTGTGAGTTGAATGCACACATCACAAAAATTTCACAGAGTGCTTCTGGGTAGTTTTTATTTGAGGATATTTCCCTTTCCACAATAGGCCTCAAAGCTTTCCAAATATCCACTTGCAGATTCTGCAAAAAGAGAGATACAAAACTGCTCTATCAAAAGATAGATTCGACTCTGTGAGTTGAATGCCAACATCGCAAAGAAGTTTCTCAGAATGCTTTCTCTGCAGCTTTTTTGTGAGTATGTTTCGTTTTCCACCATAGGGCGAAATGGGGCTCCAAATATCCACTTGCATTTCCTACAAAAATAGAGATTCTAAGCTGCTCAATCAAAACATTGTTTCAACACGGTTAGTTGAATGCACATATCCCAAAGATTTTTTTCAGAGTGCTTCTGTGTGGTTTTTATGTGAAGATACTTCCTTTTCCACAATAGGCCTCAAATCTCTGTAAATATCCACTTGCAGACTCTACAAAGAGTGTTTCCAAACTCCTCAATCATAAGATAGGTTCAACTCCGATAGTTGAATGCACACATCACAAAGAAGTTTCTCGGAAAGCTTCTGTGTAGTTTTTGATGAAGATATCTTCTTCTCTAAAACAGAACTCCAAGCCCTCCAAATATTCACTTCAAGATTCTACGGAAAGATTGTCTCAAACTGCTGAATCAAAACAAAGGTTCAACTCTGTGTGATGAATGCATTCATCACAAAGAAGTTTCTCTGAGTGCTTCTGTGCAGTTTTTATTTGAAGATAATTGCTTTTCCAGTATAGGGCGAAATAGGGCTCCAAATATTCACTTGCAGATTCTACAGAAAGAGAGATTCCAAACTGCTCAATCAAAACATAGGTTCAACACTGTGAGTTGAATGCATACATCGCAAAGAAGTTTCACAGAGTACTTCTGGGTGGTTTTTATTTGAAGATATTTCCCTTTCCACAATAGGCCTCAAAGCTTTCCGAATGTCCACTTGCAGATTCCACCAAAAGTGTGTTTCGAAACTGCTCAATCAAAAGAAAGGTTCTACTCTGTGGGATGAATGCACACATCACAAAGTAGTTTCTCAGAATGCTTCTGTGTAGTTTTTATGTGAAGATATTTGTTTTTCCACAGTAGGCCCCAAAGAGCTCCAAATATTCACTTGCAGATTCTACAAAAAGAGTGTTCCAAAACTGCTCAATCATGAAATAGGATCAACCCTGTGAGATGAATGTACGTATGACAGAGAAGTTTCTCAGAATGCTTCTGTGTAGTTTTTATGCGAAGATATTCGATTTTCCACAGTACGCCTCAAAGTTCTCCAATTATCCACTCGTAGATCCTGCAAAAAGAGAGATTCAAAACTGCTCAATCAAAAGATAGTTTCTACTCCATTAGCTGAAAGACCACATCACAAAAAAAGTTTCTCAGGATGCTTCTGTGTAGTTTTTATGTGAAGATATTTGGTTTTCCACAGTAGGCCTCAAAGCGCTCCAAATATCCACTCACAGATTCTGCAAAAAGAGAGATTCAAAACTGCTGAATCAAAAGACAGTTTCAACTCTGTGACTTCAGTGCACACCTCACAAGGATGTTTCTCAGAATGCTTCTGTGTAGTTTTCATATAAAGATATCTCCTTCTCCAAAATGGATCCCAAAGTTCTCCAAATATTCACTTCCAGATTCTATGGAAAGATTGTCTCAAAACTGCTCAATCAAACCAAAGGTTCAACTCTGTGAGATGAATGCCCACATCACAAAGAAGTTTCTCAGAGTACTTCTGTGTAGTTTCTATTTGAGGATAGTTCCTTTTCCACCACAGACCAGAAAGGGCTCCAAATATCCATTGCAGATGGTACAAAAAGTGAGATTCAAAACTGCTCAATCCAAAGGTAGTTTCAACCATGTGATATGAATGCACACAGCACAGAGAATTTTCTCAAAATGCGTCTGTCTAGTTTTTATTTGAAGATATTTCCTTTTCTACCATAGGCCACAAACGTTTCCAAATATCCACATGCAGCTTCTACAAAAAGAGAGATTCAAAACTTCTCAATCAAAAGATAGGTTCAAATCTGTGAGTTGAAAGCACACCTCACAAAGAAATTTCTCAGAGTGCTTCTGTGTGTTTTTATGTGAAGATATTTCCTTTTCCACAATAGGCCTCAAAGCTCTCCAAATATCTGCGAGCAGAGTCTACAAAATGAGAGATTCAAAACTGCTCAATGAAAAGATAGGTTCAACTCTGTGAGTTGAATGCACACCTCCAAAGAAGTTTCTCAGAATGCTTCCGTGTAGTTTTTATGTGAAGATATTTACTTTTCCACAGTTGTCCCAAAGCTCTAAAATATCCACTTGCAGACCCTCCAAAAGAGTGTTTCAGAATTGCTCAATCAAAGGGAAGGTTCAATTCTGTGTGACCAATGCACTCATCACAAAGAAGTTTGTCTGAATGCTTCTGTGTAGAATTGATTTGAAGATAATTCCTTTTCCACCACAGTCCGCAAAGGGCTAAAAATATCCACTTGCCGATTCCACAAAAAGAGAGATTCAAAACTGCTCAATCACAAGATAGGTTCAACTTGGTAATTGGAAAGCACACATGACAAACAATTTCTGAGAATGTTTCTGTGTAGTTTTTAAGGGAAGATATTTGATTTTCAAATGTAGGCCTCAAATCGCTCCAAATATCCACTTGCATATTGTACAAAAAGAGAGATTCAAAACTGGTCACTCGAAAGTTACGTCCAGCTCTGTGAGCTGAATGCACACATCACAAAGATGTTTCTCAGAAGGTTTCTGTATACTTTTTATATGAAGATATTTGCTTTTCCACAATATGCCTCAAATCTCCCCAATTATCCACTTGCAGATTCTAGAAAAAGAGTGTTTCAAAACAGCTCAATCAAAATAAACTTTCAACTCTGTGAGATCAATGCACACATCACAAAGAAGTTTCTCAGAATGCTTCTGTGTAGTTTTTTTTGTGAAGATATTTGATTTTCCACAGCAGGCTTCCAAGCACTCCAAATATCCACTCGCAGATTCTGCAAAAAGAGAGATTCAAATCTGCTGAATCAAAAGATAGGTTTAACTCTGTGACTTCAATGCACACCTCACAAGGGTGTTTCTCAGAAAGCTTCTGTGTAGTTTTTATATGAAGATATCTCCTTCTCCAAAGCAG
Source organism: Homo sapiens (assembly GCF_000001405.40). Lineage (NCBI taxonomy): Eukaryota > Metazoa > Chordata > Mammalia > Primates > Hominidae > Homo > Homo sapiens. The sequence continues at coordinate 17,696,387 of NC_000015.10, read as the reverse complement.
GTCTCAAAGCCCTCCAAATATTCACTTCAAGATTCTACGGAAAGATTGTCTCAACACTGCTAAATCTAAACAAATGTTCAACTCTGTGTGATGAATGCACTCATCACAGAGAAGTTTCTCTGAATGCCTCTGTGTAGTTTTTATTTGAAGATATTTGCTTTTCCAGTATAGGGCGAAATAGGGCTCCAAATATTCACTTGCAGATTCTACAAAAGGAGAGATTCCAAACTGCTCAATCAAAACATAGGTTCAACACTGTGAGTTGAATGCACACATCACAAAGAAGTTTCACAGAGTGCTTCTGGGTAGTTTTTATTTGAGGATATTTCCCTTTCCACAATAGGCCTCAAAGCTTTCCAAATATCCACTTGCAGATTCTGCAAAAAGAGAGATACAAAACTGCTCTATCAAAAGATAGATTCGACTCTGTGAGTTGAATGCCAACATCGCAAAGAAGTTTCTCAGAATGCTTCTCTGCAGCTTTTTTGTGAGTATGTTTCGTTTTCCACCATAGGGCGAAATGGGGCTCCAAATATCCACTTGCATTTCCTACAAAAAGAGAGATTCTAAGCTGCTAAATCAAAACATTGTTTCAACACGGTTAGTTGAATGCACACATCCCAAAGATGTTTTTCAGAGTGCTTCTGTGTGGTTTTTAGGTGAAGATACTTCCTTTTCCACAATAGGCCACAAATCTCTGTAAATATCCACTTGCAGACTCTACAAAGAGTGTTTCCAAACTCCTCAATCATAAGATAGGTTCAACTCCGATAGTTGAATGCACACATCACAAAGAAGTTTCTCAGAAAGCTTCTGTGTAGTTTTTGATGAAGATATCTCCTTCTCTAAAACAGAACTCCAAGCCCTCCAAATATTCACTTCAAGATTCTACGGAAAGATTGTCTCAAACTGCTAAATCAAAACAAAGGTTCAACTCTGTGTGATGAATGCATTCATCACAAAGAAGTTTCTCTGAGTGCTTCTGTGCAGTTTTTATTTGAAGATAATTGCTTTTCCAGTATAGGGCGAAATAGGGCTCCAAATATTCACTTGCAGATTCTACAGAAAGAGAGATTCCAAACTGCTCAATCAAAACATAGGTTCAACACTGTGAGTTGAATGCATACATCACAAAGAAGTTTCACAGAGTACTTCTGGGTGGTTTTTATTTGAAGATATTTCCCTTTCCACAATAGGCCTCAAAGCTTTCCAAATGTCCACTTGCAGATTCCACCAAAAGAGTGTTTCGAAACTGCTCAATCAAAAGAAAGGTTCTACTCTGTGGGATGAATGCACACATCACAAAGTAGTTTCTCAGAATGCTTCTGTGTAGTTTTTATGTGAAGATATTTGTTTTTCCACAGTAGGCCCCAAAGAGCTCCAAATATTCACTTGCAGATTCTACAAAAAGAGTGTTCCAAAACTGCTCCATCATGAAATAGGATCAACCCTGTGAGATGAATGTACGTATGACAGAGAAGTTTCTCAGAATGCTTCTGTGTAGTTTTTATGCGAAGATATTCGACTTTCCACAGTACGCCTCAAAGTTCTCCAATTAGCCACTCGTAGATCCTGCAAAAAGAGAGATTCAAAACTGCTCAATCAAAAGATAGTTTCTACTCCATTAGCTGAAAGACCACATCACAAAAAAAGTTTCTCAGGATGCTTCTGTGTAGTTTTTATGTGAAGATATTTGGTTTTCCACAGTAGGCCTCAAAGCGCTCCAAATATCCACTCACAGATTCTGCAAAAAGAGAGATTCAAAACTGCTGAATCAAAAGACAGTTTCAACTCTGTGACTTCAGTGCACACCTCACAAGGATGTTTCTCAGAATGCTTCTGTGTAGTTTTTATATAAAGATATCTCCTTCTCCAAAATGGATCTCAAAGTTCTCCAAATATTCACTTCCAGATTCTATGGAAAGATTGTCTCAAAACTGCTCAATCAAACCAAAGGTTCAACTCTGTGAGATGAATGCACACATCACAAAGAAGTTTTTCAGAGTACTTCTGTGTAGTTTCTATTTGAGGATAGTTCCTTTTCCACCACAGACCAGAAAGGGCTCCAAATATCCATTGCAGATGGTACAAAAAGTGAGATTCAAAACTGCTTAATCCAAAGGTAGTTTCAACCATGTGATATGAATGCACACAGCACAGAGAATTTTCTCAAAATGCGTCTGTCTAGTTTTTATTTGAAGATATTTCCTTTTCTACCACAGGCCACAAACGTCTCCAAATATCCACATGCAGCTTCTACAAAAAGAGAGATTCAAAACTTCTCAATCAAAAGATAGGTTCAACTCTGTGAGTTGAAAGCACACCTCACAAAGAAGTTTCTCAGAGTGCTTCTGTGTGTTTTTATGTGAAGATATTTCCTTTTCCACAATAGGCCTCAAAGCTCTCCAAATATCTGCGAGCAGAGTCTACAAAATGAGAGATTCAAAACTGCTCAATGAAAAGATAGGTTCAACTCTGTGAGTTGAATGCACACCTCCAAAGAAGTTTCTCAGAATGCTTCCGTGTAGTTTTTATGTGAAGATATTTACTTTTCCACAGTTGTCCCAAAGCTCTAAAATGTCCACTTGCAGACCCTCCAAAAGAGTGTTTCAGAATTGCTCAATCAAAGGGAAGGTTCAATTCTGTGTGACCAATGCACTCATCACAAAGAAGTTTGTCTGAATGCTTCTGTGTAGAATTGATTTGAAGATAATTCCTTTTCCACCACAGTCCGCAAAGGGCTAAAAATATCCACTTGCCGATTCCACAAAAAGAGAGATTCAAAACTGCTCAATCACAAGATAGGTTCAACTTGGTAATTGGAAAGCACACATGACAAACAATTTCTGAGAATGTTTCTGTGTAGTTTTTAAGGGAAGATATTTGATTTTCAAATGTAGGCCTCAAATCGCTCCAAATATCCACTTGCATATTGTACAAAAAGAGAGATTCAAAACTGGTCACTCAAAAGTTAGGTCCAGCTCTGTGAGCTGAATGCACACATCACAAAGATGTTTCTCAGAAGGTTTCTGTATAGTTTCTATATGAAGATATTTGCTTTTCCACAATATGCCTCAAATCTCCCCAATTATCCACTTGCAGATTCTAGAAAAAGAGTGTTTCAAAACAGCTCAATCAAAATAAACTTTCAACTCTGTGAGATCAATGCACACATCACAAAGAAGTTTCTCAGAATGCTTCTGTGTAGTTTTTTTTGTGAAGATATTTGATTTTCCACAGCAGGCTTCCAAGCACTCCAAATATCCACTCGCAGATTCTGCAAAAAGAGAGATTCAAACTGCTGAATCAAAAGATAGGTTTAACTCTGTGACTTCAATGCACACCTCACAAGGGTGTTTCTCAGAAAGCTTCTGTGTAGTTTTTATATGAAGATATCTCCTTCTCCAAAGCAGGTCTCAAAGCCCTCCAAATATTCACTTCAAGATTCTACGGAAAGATTGTCTCAACACTGCTAAATCTAAACAAATGTTCAACTCTGTGTGATGAATGCACTCATCACAGAGAAGTTTCTCTGAATGCCTCTGTGTAGTTTTTATTTGAAGATATTTGCTTTTCCAGTATAGGGCGAAATAGGGCTCCAAATATTCACTTGCAGATTCTACAAAAGGAGAGATTCCAAACTGCTCAATCAAAACATAGGTTCAACACTGTGAGTTGAATGCACACATCACAAAGAAGTTTCACAGAGTGCTTCTGGGTAGTTTTTATTTGAGGATATTTCCCTTTCCACAATAGGCCTCAAAGCTTTCCAAATATCCACTTGCAGATTCTGCAAAAAGAGAGATACAAAACTGCTCTATCAAAAGATAGATTCGACTCTGTGAGTTGAATGCCAACATCGCAAAGAAGTTTCTCAGAATGCTTCTCTGCAGCTTTTTTGTGAGTATGTTTCGTTTTCCACCATAGGGCGAAATGGGGCTCCAAATATCCACTTGCATTTCCTACAAAAAGAGAGATTCTAAGCTGCTCAATCAAAACATTGTTTCAACACGGTTAGTTGAATGCACACATCCCAAAGATGTTTTTCAGAGTGCTTCTGTGTGGTTTTTATGTGAAGATACTTCCTTTTCCACAATAGGCCTCAAATCTCTGTAAATATCCACTTGCAGACTCTACAAAGAGTGTTTCCAAACTGCTCAATCATAAGATAGGTTCAACTCCGATAGTTGAATGCACACATCACAAAGAAGTTTCTCAGAAAGCTTCTGTGTAGTTTTTGATGAAGATATCTTCTTCTCTAAAACAGAACTCCAAGCCCTCCAAATATACACTTCAAGATTCTACGGAAAGATTGTCTCAAAACTCCTAAATCAAAACAAAGTTTCAACTCTGTGTCATGAATGCATTCATCTCAAAGAAGTTTCTCTGAGTGCTTCTGTGCAGTTTTTATTTGAAGATAATTGCTTTTCCAGTATAGGGCGAAATAGGGCTCCAAATATTCACTTGCAGATTCTACAGAAAGAGAGATTCCAAACTGCTCAATCAAAACATAGGTTCAACACTGTGAGTTGAATGCGTACATCGCAAAGAAGTTTCACAGAGTACTTCTGGGTGGTTTTTATTTGAAGATATTTCCCTTTCCACAATAGGCCTCAAAGCTTTCCAAATGTCCACTTGCAGATTCCACCAAAAGAGTGTTTCGAGACTGCTCAATCAAAAGAAAGGTTCTACTCTGTGGGATGAATGCACACATCACAAAGTAGTTTCTCAGAATGCTTCTGTGTAGTTTTTATGTGAAGATATTTGTTTTTCCACAGTAGGCCCCAAGGAGCTCCAAATATTCACTTGCAGATTCTACAAAAAGAGTGTTCCAAAACTGCTCAATCATGAAATAGGATCAACCCTGTGAGATGAATGTACGTATGACAGAGAAGTTTCTCAGAATGCTTCTGTGTAGTTTTTATGCGAAGATATTCGACTTTCCACAGTACGCCTCAAAGTTCTCCAATTATCCACTCGTAGATCCCGCAAAAAGAGAGATTCAAAACTGCTCAATCAAAAGATAGTTTCTACTCCATTAGCTGAAAGACCACATCACAAAAAAAGTTTCTCAGGATGCTTCTGTGTAGTTTTTATGTGAAGATATTTGGTTTTCCACAGTAGGCCTCAAAGCGCTCCAAATATCCACTCACTGATTCTGCAAAAAGAGAGATTCAAAACTGCTGAATCAAAAGACAGTTTCAACTCTGTGACTTCAGTGCACACCTCACAAGGATGTTTCTCAGAATGCTTCTGTGTAGTTTTAATATAAAGATATCTCCTTCTCCAAAATGGATCTCAAAGTTCTCCAAATATTCACTTCCAGATTCTATGGAAAGATTGTCTCAAAACTGCTCAATCAAACCAAAGGTTCAACTCTGTGAGATGAATGCCTACATCACAAAGAAGTTTCTCAGAGTAATTCTGTGTAGTTTCTATTTGAGGATAGTTCCTTTTCCACCACAGACCAGAAAGGGCTCCAAATATCCATTGCAGATGGTACAAAAAGTGAGATTCAAAACTGCTCAATCCAAAGGTAGTTTCAACCATGTGATATGAATGCACACAGCACAGAGAATTTTCTCAAAATGCGTCTGTCTAGTTTTTATTTGAAGATATTTTCTTTTCTACCATAGGCCACAAACGTCTCCAAATATCCACATGCAGCTTCTACAAAAAGAGAGATTCCAAACTTCTCAATCAAAAGATAGGTTCAACTCTGTGAGTTGAATGCACACCTCCAAAGAAGTTTCTCAGAATGCTTCCGTGTAGTTTTTATGTGAAGATATTTACTTTTCCACAGTTGTCACAAAGCTCTAAAATGTCCACTTGCAGACCCTCCAAAAGAGTGTTTCAGAATTGCTCAATCAAAGGGAAGGTTCAATTCTGTGTGACCAATGCACTCATCACAAAGAAGTTTGTCTGAATGCTTCTGTGTAGAATTGATTTGAAGATAATTCCTTTTCCACCACAGTCCGCAAAGGGCTAAAAATATCCACTTGCCGATTCCACAAAAAGAGAGATTCAAAACTGCTCAATCACAAGATAGGTTCAACTTGGTAATTGGAAAGCACACATGACAAACAATTTCTGAGAATGTTTCTGTGTAGTTTTTAAGGGAAGATATTTGATTTTCAAATGTAGGCCTCAAATCGCTCCAAATATCCACTTGCATATTGTACAAAAAGAGAGATTCAAAACTGGTCACTCGAAAGTTACGTCCAGCTCTGTGAGCTGAATGCACACATCACAAAGATGTTTCTCAGAAGGTTTCTGTATACTTTTTATATGAAGATATTTGCTTTTCCACAATATGCCTCAAATCTCCCCAATTATCCACTTGCAGATTCTAGAAAAAGAGTGTTTCAAAACAGCTCAATCAAAATAAACTTTCAACTCTGTGAGATCAATGCACACATCACAAAGAAGTTTCTCAGAATGCTTCTGTGTAGTTTTTTTTGTGAAGATATTTGATTTTCCACAGCAGGCTTCCAAGCACTCCAAATATCCACTCGCAGATTCTGCAAAAAGAGAGATTCAAATCTGCTGAATCAAAAGATAGGTTTAACTCTGTGACTTCAATGCACACCTCACAAGGGTGTTTCTCAGAAAGCTTCTGTGTAGTTTTTATATGAAGATATCTCCTTCTCCAAAGCAGGTCTCAAAGCCCTCCAAATATTCACTTCAAGATTCTACGGAAAGATTGTCTCAACACTGCTAAATCTAAACAAATGTTCAACTCTGTGTGATGAATGCACTCATCACAGAGAAGTTTCTCTGAATGCCTCTGTGTAGTTTTTATTTGAAGATATTTGCTTTTCCAGTATAGGGCGAAATAGGGCTCCAAATATTCACTTGCAGATTCTACAAAAGGAGAGATTCCAAACTGCTCAATCAAAACATAGGTTCAACACTGTGAGTTGAATGCACACATCACAAAGAAGTTTCACAGAGTGCTTCTGGGTAGTTTTTATTTGAGGATATTTCCCTTTCCACAATAGGCCTCAAAGCTTTCCAAATATCCACTTGCAGATTCTGCAAAAAGAGAGATACAAAACTGCTCTATCAAAAGATAGATTCGACTCTGTGAGTTGAATGCCAACATCGCAAAGAAGTTTCTCAGAATGCTTCTCTGCAGCTTTTTTGTGAGTATGTTTCGTTTTCCACCATAGGGCGAAATGGGGCTCCAAATATCCACTTGCATTTCCTACAAAAAGAGAGATTCTAAGCTGCTCAATCAAAACATTGTTTCAACACGGTTAGTTGAATGCACACATCCCAAAGATGTTTTTCAGAGTGCTTCTGTGTGGTTTTTATGTGAAGATACTTCCTTTTCCACAATAGGCCTCAAATCTCTGTAAATATCCACTTGCAGACTCTACAAAGAGTGTTTCCAAACTCCTCAATCATAAGATAGGTTCAACTCCGATAGTTGAATGCACACATCACAAAGAAGTTTCTCAGAAAGCTTCTGTGTAGTTTTTGATGAAGATATCTCCTTCTCTAAAACAGAACTCCAAGCCCTCCAAATATTCACTTCAAGATTCTACGGAAAGATTGTCTCAAACTGCTAAATCAAAACAAAGGTTCAACTCTGTGTGATGAATGCATTCATCACAAAGAAGTTTCTCTGAGTGCTTCTGTGCAGTTTTTATTTGAAGATAATTGCTTTTCCAGTATAGGGCGAAATAGGGCTCCAAATATTCACTTGCAGATTCTACAGAAAGAGAGATTCCAAACTGCTCAATCAAAACATAGGTTCAACACTGTGAGTTGAATGCATACATCGCAAAGAAGTTTCACAGAGTACTTCTGGGTGGTTTTTATTTGAAGATATTTCCCTTTCCACAATAGGCCTCAAAGCTTTCCAAATGTCCACTTGCAGATTCCACCAAAAGAGTGTTTCGAAACTGCTCAATCAAAAGAAAGGTTCTACTCTGTGGGATGAATGCACACATCACAAAGTAGTTTCTCAGAATGCTTCTGTGTAGTTTTTATGTGAAGATATTTGTTTTTCCACAGTAGGCCCCAAAGAGCTCCAAATATTCACTTGCAGATTCTACAAAAAGAGTGTTCCAGAACTGCTCAATCATGAAATAGGATCAACCCTGTGAGATGAATGTACGTATGACAGAGAAGTTTCTCAGAATGCTTCTGTGTAGTTTTTATGCGAAGATATTCGATTTTCCACAGTACGCCTCAAAGTTCTCCAATTATCCACTCGTAGATTCTGCAAAATGAGAGATTCAAAACTGCTCAATCAAAAGATAGTTTCTACTCCATTAGCTGAAAGACCACATCACAAAAAAAGTTTCTCAGGATGCTTCTGTGTAGTTTTTATGTGAAGATATTTGGTTTTCCACAGTAGGCCTCAAAGCGCTCCAAATATCCACTCACAGATTCTGCAAAAAGAGAGATTCAAAACTGCTGAATCAAAAGACAGTTTCAACTCTGTGACTTCAGTGCACACCTCACAAGGATGTTTCTCAGAATGCTTCTGTGTAGTTTTCATATAAAGTTATCTCCTTCTCCAAAATGGATCTCAAAGTTCTCCAAATATTCACTTCCAGATTCTATGGAAAGATTGTCTCAAAACTGCTCAATCAAACCAAAGGTTCAACTCTGTGAGATGAATGCCCACATCACAAAGAAGTTTCTCAGAGTACTTCTGTGTAGTTTCTATTTGAGGATAGTTCCTTTTCCACCACAGACCAGAAAGGGCTCCAAATATCCATTGCAGATGGTACAAAAAGTGAGATTCAAAACTGCTCAATCCAAAGGTAGTTTCAACCATGTGATATGAATGCACACAGCACAGAGAATTTTCTCAAAATGCGTCTGTCTAGTTTTTATTTGAAGATATTTCCTTTTCTACCATAGGCCACAAACGTCTCCAAATATCCACATGCAGCTTCTACAAAAAGAGAGATTCAAAACTTCTCAATCAAAAGATAGGTTCAACTCTGTGAGTTGAAAGCACACCTCACAGAGAAGTTTCTCAGAGTGCTTCTGTGTGTTTTTATGTGAAGATATTTCCTTTTCCACAATAGGCCTCAAAGCTCTCCAAATATCTGCGAGCAGAGTCTACAAAATGAGAGATTCAAAACTGCTCAATGAAAAGATAGGTTCAACTCTGTGAGTTGAATGCACACCTCCAAAGAAGTTTCTCAGAATGCTTCCGTGTAGTTTTTATGTGAAGATATTTACTTTTCCACAGTTGTCCCAAAGCTCTAAAATGTCCACTTGCAGACCCTCCAAAAGAGTGTTTCAGAATTGCTCAATCAAAGGGAAGGTTCAATTCTGTGTGACCAATGCACTCATCACAAAGAAGTTTGTCTGAATGCTTCTGTGTAGAATTGATTTGAAGATAATTCCTTTTCCACCACAGTCCGCAAAGGGCTAAAAATATCCACTTGCCGATTCCACAAAAAGAGAGATTCAAAACTGCTCAATCACAAGATAGGTTCAACTTGGTAATTGGAAAGCACACATGACAAACAATTTCTGAGAATGTTTCTGTGTAGTTTTTAAGGGAAGATATTTGATTTTCAAATGTAGGCCTCAAATCGCTCCAAATATCCACTTGCATATTGTACAAAAAGAGAGATTCAAAACTGGTCACTCAAAAGTTAGGTCCAGCTCTGTGAGCTGAATGCACACATCACAAAGATGTTTCTCAGAAGGTTTCTGTATAGTTTCTATATGAAGATATTTGCTTTTCCACAATATGCCTCAAATCTCCCCAATTATCCACTTGCAGATTCTAGAAAAAGAGTGTTTCAAAACAGCTCAATCAAAATAAACTTTCAACTCTGTGAGATCAATGCACACATCACAAAGAAGTTTCTCAGAATGCTTCTGTGTAGTTTTTTTTGTGAAGATATTTGATTTTCCACAGCAGGCTTCCAAGCACTCCAAATATCCACTCGCAGATTCTGCAAAAAGAGAGATTCAAATCTGCTGAATCAAAAGATAGGTTTAACTCGGTGACTTCAATGCACACCTCACAAGGGTGTTTCTCAGAAAGCTTCTGTGTAGTTTTTATATGAAGATATCTCCTTCTCCAAAGCAGGTCTCAAAGCCCTCCAAATATTCACTTCAAGATTCTACGGAAAGATTGTCTCAACACTGCTAAATCTAAACAAATGTTCAACTCTGTGTGATGAATGCACTCATCACAGAGAAGTTTCTCTGAATGCCTCTGTGTAGTTTTTATTTGAAGATATTTGCTTTTCCAGTATAGGGCGAAATAGGGCTCCAAATATTCACTTGCAGATTCTACAAAAGGAGAGATTCCAAACTGCTCAATCAAAACATAGGTTCAACACTGTGAGTTGAATGCACACATCACAAAGAAGTTTCACAGAGTGCTTCTGGGTAGTTTTTATTTGAGGATATTTCCCTTTCCACAATAGGCCTCAAAGCTTTCCAAATATCCACTTGCAGATTCTGCAAAAAGAGAGATACAAAACTGCTCTATCAAAAGATAGATTCGACTCTGTGAGTTGAATGCCAACATCGCAAAGAAGTTTCTCAGAATGCTTCTCTGCAGCTTTTTTGTGAGTATGTTTCGTTTTCCACCATAGGGCGAAATGGGGCTCCAAATATCCACTTGCATTTCCTACAAAAAGAGAGATTCTAAGCTGCTCAATCAAAACATTGTTTCAACACGGTTAGTTGAATGCACACATCCCAAAGGTGTTTTTCAGAGTGCTTCTGTGTGGTTTTTATGTGAAGATACTTCCTTTTCCACAATAGGCCTCAAATCTCTGTAAATATCCACTTGCAGACTCTACAAAGAGTGTTTCCAAACTGCTCAATCATAAGATAGGTTCAACTCCGATAGTTGAATGCACACATCACAAAGAAGTTTCTCAGAAAGCTTCTGTGTAGTTTTTGATGAAGATATCTCCTTCTCTAAAACAGAACTCCAAGCCCTCCAAATATTCACTTCAAGATTCTACGGAAAGATTGTCTCAAAACTCCTAAATCAAAACAAAGTTTCAACTCTGTGTCATGAATGCATTCATCTCAAAGAACTTTCTCTGAATGCTTCTGTGCAGTTTTTATTTGAAGATAATTGCTTTTCCAGTATAGGGCGAAATAGGGCTCCAAATATTCACTTGCAGATTCTACAGAAAGAGAGATTCCAAACTGCTCAATCAAAACATAGGTTCAACACTGTGAGTTGAATGCATACATCGCAAAGAAGTTTCACAGAGTACTTCTGGGTGGTTTTTATTTGAAGATATTTCCCTTTCCACAATAGGCCTCAAAGCTTTCCAAATGTCCACTTGCAGATTCCACCAAAAGAGTGTTTCGAAACTGCTCAATCAAAAGAAAGGTTCTACTCTGTGGGATGAATGCACACATCACAAAGTAGTTTCTCAGAATGCTTCCTGTGTAGTTTTTATGTGAAGATATTTGTTTTTCCACAGTAGGCCCCAAAGAGCTCCAAATATTCACTTGCAGATTCTACAAAAAGAGTGTTCCAAAACTGCTCAATCATGAAATAGGATCAACCCTGTGAGATGAATGTACGTATGACAGAGAAGTTTCTCAGAATGCTTCTGTGTAGTTTTTATGCGAAGATATTCGACTTTCCACAGTACGCCTCAAAGTTCTCCAATTATCCACTCGTAGATCCTGCAAAAAGAGAGATTCAAAACTGCTCAATCAAAAGATAGTTTCTACTCCATTAGCTGAAAGACCACATCACAAAAAAAGTTTCTCAGGATGCTTCTGTGTAGTTTTTATGTGAAGATATTTGGTTTTCCACAGTAGGCCTCAAAGCGCTCCAAATATCCACTCACAGATTCTGCAAAAAGAGAGATTCAAAACTGCTGAATCAAAAGACAGTTTCAACTCTGTGACTTCAGTGCACACCTCACAAGGATGTTTCTCAGAATGCTTCTGTGTAGTTTTTATATAAAGATATCTCCTTCTCCAAAATGGATCTCAAAGTTCTCCAAATATTCACTTCCAGATTCTATGGAAAGATTGTCTCAAAACTGCTCAATCAAACCAAAGGTTCAACTCTGTGAGATGAATGCCCACATCACAAAGAAGTTTCTCAGAGTACTTCTGTGTAGTTTCTATTTGAGGATAGTTCCTTTTCCACCACAGACCAGAAAGGGCTCCAAATATCCATTGCAGATGGTACAAAAAGTGAGATTCAAAACTGCTCAATCCAAAGGTAGTTTCAACCATGTGATATGAATGCACACAGCACAGAGAATTTTCTCAAAATGCGTCTGTCTAGTTTTTATTTGAAGATATTTCCTTTTCTACCATAGGCCACAAACGTCTCCAAATATCCACATGCAGCTTCTACAAAAAGAGAGATTCAAAACTTCTCAATGAAAAGATAGGTTCAACTCTGTGAGTTGAAAGCACACCTCACAAAGAAGTTTCTCAGAGTGCTTCTGTGTGTTTTTATGTGAAGATATTTCCTTTTCCACAATAGGCCTCAAAGCTCTCCAAATATCTGCGAGCAGAGTCTACAAAATGAGAGATTCAAAACTGCTCAATGAAAAGATAGGTTCAACTCTGTGAGTTGAATGCACACCTCCAAAGAAGTTTCTCAGAATGCTTCCGTGTAGTTTTTATGTGAAGATATTTACTTTTCCACAGTTGTCCCAAAGCTCTAAAATGTCCACTTGCAGACCCTCCAAAAGAGTGTTTCAGAATTGCTCAATCAAAGGGAAGGTTCAATTCTGTGTGACCAATGCACTCATCACAAAGAAGTTTGTCTGAATGCTTCTGTGTAGAATTGATTTGAAGATAATTCCTTTTCCACCACAGTCCGCAAAGGGCTAAAAATATCCACTTGCCGATTCCACAAAAAGAGAGATTCAAAACTGCTCAATCACAAGATAGGTTCAACTTGGTAATTGGAAAGCACACATGACAAACAATTTCTGAGAATGTTTCTGTGTAGTTTTTAAGGGAAGATATTTGATTTTCAAATGTAGGCCTCAAATCGCTCCAAATATCCACTTGCATATTGTACAAAAAGAGAGATTCAAAACTGGTCACTCAAAAGTTAGGTCCAGCTCTGTGAGCTGAATGCACACATCACAAAGATGTTTCTCAGAAGGTTTCTGTATAGTTTCTATATGAAGATATTGGCTTTTCCACAATATGCCTCAAATCTCCCCAATTATCCACTTGCAGATTCTAGAAAAAGAGTGTTTCAAAACAGCTCAATCAAAATAAACTTTCAACTCTGTGAGATCAATGCACACATCACAAAGAAGTTTCTCAGAATGCTTCTGTGTAGTTTTTTTTGTGAAGATATTTGATTTTCCACAGCAGGCTTCCAAGCACTCCAAATATCCACTCGCAGATTCTGCAAAAAGAGAGATTCAAATCTGCTGAATCAAAAGATAGGTTTAACTCTGTGACTTCAATGCACACCTCACAAGGGTGTTTCTCAGAAAGCTTCTGTGTAGTTTTTATATGAAGATATCTCCTTCTCCAAAGCAGGTCTCAAAGCCCTCCAAATATTCACTTCAAGATTCTACGGAAAGATTGTCTCAACACTGCTAAATCTAAACAAATGTTCAACTCTGTGTGATGAATGCACTCATCACAGAGAAGTTTCTCTGAATGCCTCTGTGTAGTTTTTATTTGAAGATATTTGCTTTTCCAGTATAGGGCGAAATAGGGCTCCAAATATTCACTTGCAGATTCTACAAAAGGAGAGATTCCAAACTGCTCAATCAAAACGTAGGTTCAACACTGTGAGTTGAATGCACACATCACAAAGAAGTTTCACAGAGTGCTTCTGGGTAGTTTTTATTTGAGGATATTTCCCTTTCCACAATAGGCCTCAAAGCTTTCCAAATATCCACTTGCAGATTCTGCAAAAAGAGAGATACAAAACTGCTCTATCAAAAGATAGATTCGACTCTGTGAGTTGAATGCCAACATCGCAAAGAAGTTTCTCAGAATGCTTCTCTGCAGCTTTTTTGTGAGTATGTTTCGTTTTCCACCATAGGGCGAAATGGGGCTCCAAATATCCACTTGCATTTCCTACAAAAGGAGAGATTCTAAGCTGCTCAATCAAAACATTGTTTCAACACGGTTAGTTGAATGCACACATCCCAAAGATGTTTTTCAGAGTGCTTCTGTGTGGTTTTTATGTGAAGATACTTCCTTTTCCACAATAGGCCTCAAATCTCTGTAAATATCCACTTGCAGACTCTACAAAGAGTGTTTCCAAACTGCTCAATCATAAGATAGGTTCAACTCCGATAGTTGAATGCACACATCACAAAGAAGTTTCTCAGAAAGCTTCTGTGTAGTTTTTGATGAAGATATCTCCTTCTCTAAAACAGAACTCCAAGCCCTCCAAATATTCACTTCAAGATTCTACGGAAAGATTGTCTCAAAACTCCTAAATCAAAACAAAGTTTCAACTCTGTGTCATGAATGCATTCATCTCAAAGAACTTTCTCTGAATGCTTCTGTGCAGTTTTTATTTGAAGATAATTGCTTTTCCAGTATAGGGCGAAATAGGGCTCCAAATATTCACTTGCAGATTCTACAGAAAGAGAGATTCCAAACTGCTCAATCAAAACATAGGTTCAACACTGTGAGTTGAATGCATACATCGCAAAGAAGTTTCACAGAGTACTTCTGGGTGGTTTTTATTTGAAGATATTTCCCTTTCCACAATAGGCCTCAAAGCTTTCCAAATGTCCACTTGCAGATTCCACCAAAAGAGTGTTTCGAAACTGTTCAATCAAAAGAAAGGTTCTACTCTGTGGGATGAATGCACACATCACAAAGTAGTTTCTCAGAATGCTTCTGTGTAGTTTTTATGTGAAGATATTTGTTTTTCCACAGTAGGCCCCAAAGAGCTCCAAATATTCACTTGCAGATTCTACAAAAAGAGTGTTCCAAAACTGCTCAATCATGAAATAGGATCAACCCTGTGAGATGAATGTACGTATGACAGAGAAGTTTCTCAGAATGCTTTCTGTGTAGTTTTTATGCGAAGATATTCGATTTTCCACAGTACGCCTCAAAGTTCTCCAATTATCCACTCGTAGATTCTGCAAAAAGAGAGATTCAAAACTGCTCAATCAAAAGATAGTTTCTACTCCATTAGCTGCAAGACCACATCACAAAAAAAGTTTCTCAGGATGCTTCTGTGTAGTTTTTATGTGAAGATATTTGGTTTTCCACAGTAGGCCTCAAAGCGCTCCAAATATCCACTCACAGATTCTGCAAAAAGAGAGATTCAAAACTGCTGAATCAAAAGACAGTTTCAACTCTGTGACTTCAGTGCACACCTCACAAGGATGTTTCTCAGAATGCTTCTGTGTAGTTTTTATATAAAGATATCTCCTTCTCCAAAATGGATCTCAAAGTTCTCCAAATATTCACTTCCAGATTCTATGGAAAGATTGTCTCAAAACTGCTCAATCAAACCAAAGTTTCAACTCTGTGAGATGAATGCCCACATCACAAAGAAGTTTCTCAGAGTACTTCTGTGTAGTTTCTATTTGAGGATAGTTCCTTTTCCACCACAGACCAGAAAGGGCTCCAAATATCCATTGCAGATGGTACAAAAAGTGAGATTCAAAACTGCTCAATCCAAAGGTAGTTTCAACCATGTGATATGAATGCACACAGCACAGAGAATTTTCTCAAAATGCGTCTGTCTAGTTTTTATTTGAAGATATTTCCTTTTCTACCATAGGCCACAAACGTCTCCAAATATCCACATGCAGCTTCTACAAAAAGAGAGATTCAAAACTTCTCAATCAAAAGATAGGTTCAACTCTGTGAGTTGAAAGCACACCTCACAGAGAAGTTTCTCAGAGTGCTTCTGTGTGTTTTTATGTGAAGATATTTCCTTTTCCACAATAGGCCTCAAAGCTCTCCAAATATCTGCGAGCAGAGTCTACAAAATGAGAGATTCAAAACTGCTCAATGAAAAGATAGGTTCAACTCTGTGAGTTGAATGCACACCTCCAAAGAAGTTTCTCAGAATGCTTCCGTGTAGTTTTTATGTGAAGATATTTACTTTTCCACAGTTGTCCCAAAGCTCTAAAATGTCCACTTGCAGACCCTCCAAAAGAGTGTTTCAGAATTGCTCAATCAAAGGGAAGGTTCAATTCTGTGTGACCAATGCACTCATCACAAAGAAGTTTGTCTGAATGCTTCTGTGTAGAATTGATTTGAAGATAATTCCTTTTCCACCACAGTCCGCAAAGGGCTAAAAATATCCACTTGCCGATTCCACAAAAAGAGAGATTCAAAACTGCTCAATCACAAGATAGGTTCAACTTGGTAATTGGAAAGCACACATGACAAACAATTTCTGAGAATGTTTCTGTGTAGTTTTTAAGGGAAGATATTTGATTTTCAAATGTAGGCCTCAAATCGCTCCAAATATCCACTTGCATATTGTACAAAAAGAGAGATTCAAAACTGGTCACTCAAAAGTTAGGTCC
The DNA here is from genome assembly GCF_000001405.40 of Homo sapiens. Taxonomy (NCBI): domain Eukaryota; kingdom Metazoa; phylum Chordata; class Mammalia; order Primates; family Hominidae; genus Homo; species Homo sapiens. The sequence goes on along the minus strand of NC_000015.10, from coordinate 17,679,918 downwards.
ACTCTGTGAGCTGAATGCACACATCACAAAGATGTTTCTCAGAAGGTTTCTGTATAGTTTCTATATGAAGATATTTGCTTTTCCACAATATGCCTCAAATCTCCCCAATTATCCACTTGCAGATTCTAGAAAAAGAGTGTTTCAAAACAGCTCAATCAAAATAAACTTTCAACTCTGTGAGATCAATGCACACATCACAAAGAAGTTTCTCAGAATGCTTCTGTGTAGTTTTTTTTGTGAAGATATTTGATTTTCCACAGCAGGCTTCCAAGCACTCCAAATATCCACTCGCAGATTCTGCAAAAAGAGAGATTCAAATCTGCTGAATCAAAAGATAGGTTTAACTCTGTGACTTCAATGCACACCTCACAAGGGTGTTTCTCAGAAAGCTTCTGTGTAGTTTTTATATGAAGATATCTCCTTCTCCAAAGCAGGTCTCAAAGCCCTCCAAATATTCACTTCAAGATTCTACGGAAAGATTGTCTCAACACTGCTAAATCTAAACAAATGTTCAACTCTGTGTGATGAATGCACTCATCACAGAGAAGTTTCTCTGAATGCCTCTGTGTAGTTTTTATTTGAAGATATTTGCTTTTCCAGTATAGGGCGAAATAGGGCTCCAAATATTCACTTGCAGATTCTACAAAAGGAGAGATTCCAAACTGCTCAATCAAAACATAGGTTCAACACTGTGAGTTGAATGCACACATCACAAAGAAGTTTCACAGAGTGCTTCTGGGTAGTTTTTATTTGAGGATATTTCCCTTTCCACAATAGGCCTCAAAGCTTTCCAAATATCCACTTGCAGATTCTGCAAAAAGAGAGATACAAAACTGCTCTATCAAAAGATAGATTCGACTCTGTGAGTTGAATGCCAACATCGCAAAGAAGTTTCTCAGAATGCTTCTCTGCAGCTTTTTTGTGAGTATGTTTCGTTTTCCACCATAGGGCGAAATGGGGCTCCAAATATCCACTTGCATTTCCTACAAAAAGAGAGATTCTAAGCTGCTCAATCAAAACATTGTTTCAACACGGTTAGTTGAATGCACACATCCCAAAGATGTTTTTCAGAGTGCTTCTGTGTGGTTTTTATGTGAAGATACTTCCTTTTCCACAATAGGCCTCAAATCTCTGTAAATATCCACTTGCAGACTCTACAAAGAGTGTTTCCAAACTGCTCAATCATAAGATAGGTTCAACTCCGATAGTTGAATGCACACATCACAAAGAAGTTTCTCAGAAAGCTTCTGTGTAGTTTTTGATGAAGATATCTCCTTCTCTAAAACAGAACTCCAAGCCCTCCAAATATTCACTTCAAGATTCTACGGAAAGATTGTCTCAAAACTCCTAAATCAAAACAAAGTTTCAACTCTGTGTCATGAATGCATTCATCTCAAAGAACTTTCTCTGAATGCTTCTGTGCAGTTTTTATTTGAAGATAATTGCTTTTCCAGTATAGGGCGAAATAGGGCTCCAAATATTCACTTGCAGATTCTACAGAAAGAGAGATTCCAAACTGCTCAATCAAAACATAGGTTCAACACTGTGAGTTGAATGCATACATCGCAAAGAAGTTTCACAGAGTACTTCTGGGTGGTTTTTATTTGAAGATATTTCCCTTTCCACAATAGGCCTCAAAGCTTTCCAAATGTCCACTTGCAGATTCCACCAAAAGAGTGTTTCGAAACTGCTCAATCAAAAGAAAGGTTCTACTGCTGTGGGATGAATGCACACATCACAAAGTAGTTTCTCAGAATGCTTCTGTGTAGTTTTTATGTGAAGATATTTGTTTTTCCACAGTAGGCCCCAAAGAGCTCCAAATATTCACTTGCAGATTCTACAAAAAGAGTGTTCCAAAACTGCTCAATCATGAAATAGGATCAACCCTGTGAGATGAATGTACGTATGACAGAGAAGTTTCTCAGAATGCTTCTGTGTAGTTTTTATGCGAAGATATTCGACTTTCCACAGTACGCCTCAAAGTTCTCCAATTATCCACTCGTAGATCCTGCAAAAAGAGAGATTCAAAACTGCTCAATCAAAAGATAGTTTCTACTCCATTAGCTGAAAGACCACATCACAAAAAAAGTTTCTCAGGATGCTTCTGTGTAGTTTTTATGTGAAGATATTTGGTTTTCCACAGTAGGCCTCAAAGCGCTCCAAATATCCACTCACAGATTCTGCAAAAAGAGAGATTCAAAACTGCTGAATCAAAAGACAGTTTCAACTCTGTGACTTCAGTGCACACCTCACAAGGATGTTTCTCAGAATGCTTCTGTGTAGTTTTTATATAAAGATATCTCCTTCTCCAAAATGGATCTCAAAGTTCTCCAAATATTCACTTCCAGATTCTATGGAAAGATTGTCTCAAAACTGCTCAATCAAACCAAAGGTTCAACTCTGTGAGATGAATGCCCACATCACAAAGAAGTTTCTCAGAGTACTTCTGTGTAGTTTCTATTTGAGGATAGTTCCTTTTCCACCACAGACCAGAAAGGGCTCCAAATATCCATTGCAGATGGTACAAAAAGTGAGATTCAAAACTGCTCAATCCAAAGGTAGTTTCAACCAGGTGATATGAATCCACACAGCACAGAGAATTTTCTCAAAATGCGTCTGTCTAGTTTTTATTTGAAGATATTTCCTTTTCTACCATAGGCCACAAACGTCTCCAAATATCCACATGCAGCTTCTACAAAAAGAGAGATTCAAAACTTCTCAATCAAAAGATAGGTTCAACTCTGTGAGTTGAAAGCACACCTCACAAAGCAGTTTCTCAGAGTGCTTCTGTGTGTTTTTAGGTGAAGATATTTCCTTTTCCACAATAGGCCTCAAAGCTCTCCAAATATCTGCGAGCAGAGTCTACAAAATGAGAGATTCAAAACTGCTCAATGAAAAGATAGGTTCAACTCTGTGAGTTGAATGCACACCTCCAAAGAAGTTTCTCAGAATGCTTCCGTGTAGTTTTTATGTGAAGATATTTACTTTTCCACAGTTGTCCCAAAGCTCTAAAATGTCCACTTGCAGACCCTCCAAAAGAGTGTTTCAGAATTGCTCAATCAAAGGGAAGGTTCAATTCTGTGTGACCAATGCACTCATCACAAAGAAGTTTGTCTGAATGCTTCTGTGTAGAATTGATTTGAAGATAATTCCTTTTCCACCACAGTCCGCAAAGGGCTAAAAATATCCACTTGCCGATTCCACAAAAAGAGAGATTCAAAACTGCTCAATCACAAGATAGGTTCAACTTGGTAATTGGAAAGCACACATGACAAACAATTTCTGAGAATGTTTCTGTGTAGTTTTTAAGGGAAGATATTTGATTTTCAAATGTAGGCCTCAAATCGCTCCAAATATCCACTTGCATATTGTACAAAAAGAGAGATTCAAAACTGGTCACTCAAAAGTTAGGTCCAGCTCTGTGAGCTGAATGCACACATCACAAAGATGTTTCTCAGAAGGTTTCTGTATAGTTTCTATATGAAGATATTTGCTTTTCCACAATATGCCTCAAATCTCCCCAATTATCCACTTGCAGATTCTAGAAAAAGAGTGTTTCAAAACAGCTCAATCAAAATAAACTTTCAACTCTGTGAGATCAATGCACACATCACAAAGAAGTTTCTCAGAATGCTTCTGTGTAGTTTTTTTTGTGAAGATATTTGATTTTCCACAGCAGGCTTCCAAGCACTCCAAATATCCACTCGCAGATTCTGCAAAAAGAGAGATTCAAATCTGCTGAATCAAAAGATAGGTTTAACTCTGTGACTTCAATGCACACCTCACAAGGGTGTTTCTCAGAAAGCTTCTGTGTAGTTTTTATATGAGGATATCTCCTTCTCCAAAGCAGGTCTCAAAGCCCTCCAAATATTCACTTCAAGATTCTACGGAAAGATTGTCTCAACACTGCTAAATCTAAACAAATGTTCAACTCTGTGTGATGAATGCACTCATCACAGAGACGTTTCTCTGAATGCCTCTGTGTAGTTTTTATTTGAAGATATTTGCTTTTCCAGTATAGGGCGAAATAGGGCTCCAAATATTCACTTGCAGATTCTACAAAAGGAGAGATTCCAAACTGCTCAATCAAAACATAGGTTCAACACTGTGAGTTGAATGCACACATCACAAAGAAGTTTCACAGAGTGCTTCTGGGTAGTTTTTATTTGAGGATATTTCCCTTTCCACAATAGGCCTCAAAGCTTTCCAAATATCCACTTGCAGATTCTGCAAAAAGAGAGATACAAAACTGCTCTATCAAAAGATAGATTCGACTCTGTGAGTTGAATGCCAACATCGCAAAGAAGTTTCTCAGAATGCTTCTCTGCAGCTTTTTTGTGAGTATGTTTCGTTTTCCACCATAGGGCGAAATGGGGCTCCAAATATCCACTTGCATTTCCTACAAAAAGAGAGATTCTAAGCTGCTCAATCAAAACATTGTTTCAACACGGTTAGTTGAATGCACACATCCCAAAGATGTTTTTCAGAGTGCTTCTGTGTGGTTTTTATGTGAAGATACTTCCTTTTCCACAATAGGCCTCAAATCTCTGTAAATATCCACTTGCAGACTCCACAAAGAGTGTTTCCAAACTGCTCAATCATAAGATAGGTTCAACTCCGATAGTTGAATGCACACATCACAAAGAAGTTTCTCAGAAAGCTTCTGTGTAGTTTTTGATGAAGATATCTTCTTCTCTAAAACAGAACTCCAAGCCCTCCAAATATTCACTTCAAGATTCTACGGAAAGATTGTCTCAAACTGCTAAATCAAAACAAAGGTTCAACTCTGTGTGATGAATGCATTCATCACAAAGAAGTTTCTCTGAGTGCTTCTGTGCAGTTTTTATTTGAAGATAATTGCTTTTCCAGTATAGGGCGAAATAGGGCTCCAAATATTCACTTGCAGATTCTACAGAAAGAGAGATTCCAAACTGCTCAATCAAAACATAGGTTCAACACTGTGAGTTGAATGCATACATCGCAAAGAAGTTTCACAGAGTACTTCTGGGTGGTTTTTATTTGAAGATATTTCCCTTTCCACAATAGGCCTCAAAGCTTTCCAAATGTCCACTTGCAGATTCCACCAAAAGAGTGTTTCGAAACTGCTCAATCAAAAGAAAGGTTCTACTCTGTGGGATGAATGCACACATCACAAAGTAGTTTCTCAGAATGCTTCTGTGTAGTTTTTATGTGAAGATATTTGTTTTTCCACAGTAGGCCCCAAAGAGCTCCAAATATTCACTTGCAGATTCTACAAAAAGAGTGTTCCAAAACTGCTCAATCATGAAATAGGATCAACCCTGTGAGATGAATGTACGTATGACAGAGAAGTTTCTCAGAATGCTTCTGTGTAGTTTTTATGCGAAGATATTCGACTTTCCACAGTACGCCTCAAAGTTCTCCAATTATCCACTCGTAGATCCTGCAAAAAGAGAGATTCAAAACTGCTCAATCAAAAGATAGTTTCTACTCCATTAGCTGAAAGACCACATCACAAAAAAAGTTTCTCAGGATGCTTCTGTGTAGTTTTTATGTGAAGATATTTGGTTTTCCACAGTAGGCCTCAAAGCGCTCCAAATATCCACTCACAGATTCTGCAAAAAGAGAGATTCAAAACTGCTGAATCAAAAGACAGTTTCAACTCTGTGACTTCAGTGCACACCTCACAAGGATGTTTCTCAGAATGCTTCTGTGTAGTTTTTATATAAAGATATCTCCTTCTCCAAAATGGATCTCAAAGTTCTCCAAATATTCACTTCCAGATTCTATGGAAAGATTGTCTCAAAACTGCTCAATCAAACCAAAGGTTCAACTCTGTGAGATGAATGCCCACATCACAAAGAAGTTTCTCAGAGTACTTCTGTGTAGTTTCTATTTGAGGATAGTTCCTTTTCCACCACAGACCAGAAAGGGCTCCAAATATCCATTGCAGATGGTACAAAAAGTGAGATTCAAAACTGCTCAATCCAAAGGTAGTTTCAACCATGTGATATGAATGCACACAGCACAGAGAATTTTCTCAAAATGCGTCTGTCTAGTTTTTATTTGAAGATATTTCCTTTTCTACCATAGGCCACAAACGTCTCCAAATATCCACATGCAGCTTCTACAAAAAGAGAGATTCAAAACTTCTCAATCAAAAGATAGGTTCAACTCTGTGAGTTGAAAGCACACCTCACAGAGAAGTTTCTCAGAGTGCTTCTGTGTGTTTTTATGTGAAGATATTTCCTTTTCCACAATAGGCCTCAAAGCTCTCCAAATATCTGCGAGCAGAGTCTACAAAATGAGAGATTCAAAACTGCTCAATGAAAAGATAGGTTCAACTCTGTGAGTTGAATGCACACCTCCAAAGAAGTTTCTCAGAATGCTTCCGTGTAGTTTTTATGTGAAGATATTTACTTTTCCACAGTTGTCCCAAAGCTCTAAAATGTCCACTTGCAGACCCTCCAAAAGAGTGTTTCAGAATTGCTCAATCAAAGGGAAGGTTCAATTCTGTGTGACCAATGCACTCATCACAAAGAAGTTTGTCTGAATGCTTCTGTGTAGAATTGATTTGAAGATAATTCCTTTTCCACCACAGTCCGCAAAGGGCTAAAAATATCCACTTGCCGATTCCACAAAAAGAGAGATTCAAAACTGCTCAATCACAAGATAGGTTCAACTTGGTAATTGGAAAGCACACATGACAAACAATTTCTGAGAATGTTTCTGTGTAGTTTTTAAGGGAAGATATTTGATTTTCAAATGTAGGCCTCAAATCGCTCCAAATATCCACTTGCATATTGTACAAAAAGAGAGATTCAAAACTGGTCACTCAAAAGTTAGGTCCAGCTCTGTGAGCTGAATGCACACATCACAAAGATGTTTCTCAGAAGGTTTCTGTATAGTTTCTATATGAAGATATTTGCTTTTCCACAATATGCCTCAAATCTCCCCAATTATCCACTTGCAGATTCTAGAAAAAGAGTGTTTCAAAACAGCTCAATCAAAATAAACTTTCAACTCTGTGAGATCAATGCACACATCACAAAGAAGTTTCTCAGAATGCTTCTGTGTAGTTTTTTTTGTGAAGATATTTGATTTTCCACAGCAGGCTTCCAAGCACTCCAAATATCCACTCGCAGATTCTGCAAAAAGAGAGATTCAAATCTGCTGAATCAAAAGATAGGTTTAACTCTGTGACTTCAATGCACACCTCACAAGGGTGTTTCTCAGAAAGCTTCTGTGTAGTTTTTATATGAAGATATCTCCTTCTCCAAAGCAGGTCTCAAAGCCCTCCAAATATTCACTTCAAGATTCTATGGAAAGATTGTCTCAACACTGCTAAATCTAAACAAATGTTCAACTCTGTGTGATGAATGCACTCATCACAGAGAAGTTTCTCTGAATGCCTCTGTGTAGTTTTTATTTGAAGATATTTGCTTTTCCAGTATAGGGCGAAATAGGGCTCCAAATATTCACTTGCAGATTCTACAAAAGGAGAGATTCCAAACTGCTCAATCAAAACATAGGTTCAACACTGTGAGTTGAATGCACACATCACAAAGAAGTTTCACAGAGTGCTTCTGGGTAGTTTTTATTTGAGGATATTTCCCTTTCCACAATAGGCCTCAAAGCTTTCCAAATATCCACTTGCAGATTCTGCAAAAAGAGAGATACAAAACTGCTCTATCAAAAGATAGATTCGACTCTGTGAGTTGAATGCCAACATCGCAAAGAAGTTTCTCAGAATGCTTCTCTGCAGCTTTTTTGTGAGTATGTTTCGTTTTCCACCATAGGGCGAAATGGGGCTCCAAATATCCACTTGCATTTCCTACAAAAAGAGAGATTCTAAGCTGCTCAATCAAAACATTGTTTCAACACGGTTAGTTGAATGCACACATCCCAAAGATGTTTTTCAGAGTGCTTCTGTGTGGTTTTTATGTGAAGATACTTCCTTTTCCACAATAGGCCTCAAATCTCTGTAAATATCCACTTGCAGACTCTACAAAGAGTGTTTCCAAACTGCTCAATCATAAGATAGGTTCAACTCCGATAGTTGAATGCACACATCACAAAGAAGTTTCTCAGAAAGCTTCTGTGTAGTTTTTGATGAAGATATCTCCTTCTCTAAAACAGAACTCCAAGCCCTCCAAATATTCACTTCAAGATTCTACGGAAAGATTGTCTCAAAACTCCTAAATCAAAACAAAGTTTCAACTCTGTGTCATGAATGCATTCATCTCAAAGAAGTTTCTCTGAATGCTTCTGTGCAGTTTTTATTTGAAGATAATTGCTTTTCCAGTATAGGGCGAAATAGGGCTCCAAATATTCACTTGCAGATTCTACAGAAAGAGAGATTCCAAACTGCTCAATCAAAACATAGGTTCAACACTGTGAGTTGAATGCATACATCGCAAAGAAGTTTCACAGAGTACTTCTGGGTGGTTTTTATTTGAAGATATTTCCCTTTCCACAATAGGCCTCAAAGCTTTCCAAATGTCCACTTGCAGATTCCACCAAAAGAGTGTTTCGAAACTGCTCAATCAAAAGAAAGGTTCTACTCTGTGGGATGAATGCACACATCACAAAGTAGTTTCTCAGAATGCTTCTGTGTAGTTTTTATGTGAAGATATTTGTTTTTCCACAGTAGGCCCCAAGGAGCTCCAAATATTCACTTGCAGATTCTACAAAAAGAGTGTTCCAAAACTGCTCAATCATGAAATAGGATCAACCCTGTGAGATGAATGTACGTATGACAGAGAAGTTTCTCAGAATGCTTCTGTGTAGTTTTTATGCGAAGATATTCGATTTTCCACAGTACGCCTCAAAGTTCTCCAATTATCCACTCGTAGATTCTGCAAAAAGAGAGATTCAAACCTGCTCAATCAAAAGATAGTTTCTACTCCATTAGCTGAAAGACCACATCACAAAAAAAGTTTCTCAGGATGCTTCTGTGTAGTTTTTATGTGAAGATATTTGGTTTTCCACAGTAGGCCTCAAAGCGCTCCAAATATCCACTCACAGATTCTGCAAAAAGAGAGATTCAAAACTGCTGAATCAAAAGACAGTTTCAACTCTGTGACTTCAGTGCACACCTCACAAGGATGTTTCTCAGAATGCTTCTGTGTAGTTTTTATATAAAGATATCTCCTTCTCCAAAATGGATCTCAAAGTTCTCCAAATATTCACTTCCAGATTCTATGGAAAGATTGTCTCAAAACTGCTCAATCAAACCAAAGGTTCAACTCTGTGAGATGAATGCCCACATCACAAAGAAGTTTCTCAGAGTACTTCTGTGTAGTTTCTATTTGAGGATAGTTCCTTTTCCACCACAGACCAGAAAGGGCTCCAAATATCCATTGCAGATGGTACAAAAAGTGAGATTCAAAACTGCTCAATCCAAAGGTAGTTTCAACCATGTGATATGAATGCACACAGCACAGAGAATTTTCTCAAAATGCGTCTGTCTAGTTTTTATTTGAAGATATTTCCTTTTCTACCATAGGCCACAAACGTCTCCAAATATCCACATGCAGCTTCTACAAAAAGAGAGATTCAAAACTTCTCAATCAAAAGATAGGTTCAACTCTGTGAGTTGAAAGCACACCTCACAGAGAAGTTTCTCAGAGTGCTTCTGTGTGTTTTTATGTGAAGATATTTCCTTTTCCACAATAGGCCTCAAAGCTCTCCAAATATCTGTGAGCAGAGTCTACAAAATGAGAGATTCAAAACTGCTCAATGAAAAGATAGGTTCAACTCTGTGAGTTGAATGCACACCTCCAAAGAAGTTTCTCAGAATGCTTCCGTGTAGTTTTTATGTGAAGATATTTACTTTTCCACAGTTGTCCCAAAGCTCTAAAATGTCCACTTGCAGACCCTCCAAAAGAGTGTTTCAGAATTGCTCAATCAAAGGGAAGGTTCAATTCTGTGTGACCAATGCACTCATCACAAAGAAGTTTGTCTGAATGCTTCTGTGTAGAATTGATTTGAAGATAATTCCTTTTCCACCACAGTCCGCAAAGGGCTAAAAATATCCACTTGCCGATTCCACAAAAAGAGAGATTCAAAACTGCTCAATCACAAGATAGGTTCAACTTGGTAATTGGAAAGCACACATGACAAACAATTTCTGAGAATGTTTCTGTGTAGTTTTTAAGGGAAGATATTTGATTTTCAAATGTAGGCCTCAAATCGCTCCAAATATCCACTTGCATATTGTACAAAAAGAGAGATTCAAAACTGGTCACTCAAAAGTTAGGTCCAGCTCTGTGAGCTGAATGCACACATCACAAAGATGTTTCTCAGAAGGTTTCTGTATAGTTTTTATATGAAGATATTTGCTTTTCCACAATATGCCTCAAATCTCCCCAATTATCCACTTGCAGATTCTAGAAAAAGAGTGTTTCAAAACAGCTCAATCAAAATAAACTTTCAACTCTGTGAGATCAATGCACACATCACAAAGAAGTTTCTCAGAATGCTTCTGTGTAGTTTTTTTTGTGAAGATATTTGATTTTCCACAGCAGGCTTCCAAGCACTCCAAATATCCACTCGCAGATTCTGCAAAAAGAGAGATTCAAATCTGCTGAATCAAAAGATAGGTTTAACTCTGTGACTTCAATGCACACCTCACAAGGGTGTTTCTCAGAAAGCTTCTGTGTAGTTTTTATATGAAGATATCTCCTTCTCCAAAGCAGGTCTCAAAGCCCTCCAAATATTCACTTCAAGATTCTACGGAAAGATTGTCTCAACACTGCTAAATCTAAACAAATGTTCAACTCTGTGTGATGAATGCACTCATCACAGAGAAGTTTCTCTGAATGCCTCTGTGTAGTTTTTATTTGAAGATATTTGCTTTTCCAGTATAGGGCGAAATAGGGCTCCAAATATTCACTTGCAGATTCTACAAAAGGAGAGATTCCAAACTGCTCAATCAAAACATAGGTTCAACACTGTGAGTTGAATGCACACATCACAAAGAAGTTTCACAGAGTGCTTCTGGGTAGTTTTTATTTGAGGATATTTCCCTTTCCACAATAGGCCTCAAAGCTTTCCAAATATCCACTTGCAGATTCTGCAAAAAGAGAGATACAAAACTGCTCTATCAAAAGATAGATTCGACTCTGTGAGTTGAATGCCAACATCGCAAAGAAGTTTCTCAGAATGCTTCTCTGCAGCTTTTTTGTGAGTATGTTTCGTTTTCCACCATAGGGCGAAATGGGGCTCCAAATATCCACTTGCATTTCCTACAAAAAGAGAGATTCTAAGCTGCTCAATCAAAACATTGTTTCAACACGGTTAGTTGAATGCACACATCCCAAAGATGTTTTTCAGAGTGCTTCTGTGTGGTTTTTATGTGAAGATACTTCCTTTTCCACAATAGGCCTCAAATCTCTGTAAATATCCACTTGCAGACTCTACAAAGAGTGTTTCCAAACTGCTCAATCATAAGATAGGTTCAACTCCGATAGTTGAATGCACACATCACAAAGAAGTTTCTCAGAAAGCTTCTGTGTAGTTTTTGATGAAGATATCTTCTTCTCTAAAACAGAACTCCAAGCCCTCCAAATATTCACTTCAAGATTCTACGGAAAGATTGTCTCAAAACTCCTAAATCAAAACAAAGTTTCAACTCTGTGTCATGAATGCATTCATCTCAAAGAAGTTTCTCTGAATGCTTCTGTGCAGTTTTTATTTGAAGATAATTGCTTTTCCAGTATAGGGCGAAATAGGGCTCCAAATATTCACTTGCAGATTCTACAGAAAGAGAGATTCCAAACTGCTCAATCAAAACATAGGTTCAACACTGTGAGTTGAATGCATACATCGCAAAGAAGTTTCACAGAGTACTTCTGGGTGGTTTTTATTTGAAGATATTTCCCTTTCCACAATAGGCCTCAAAGCTTTCCAAATGTCCACTTGCAGATTCCACCAAAAGAGTGTTTCGAAACTGCTCAATCAAAAGAAAGGTTCTACTCTGTGGGATGAATGCACACATCACAAAGTAGTTTCTCAGAATGCTTCTGTGTAGTTTTTATGTGAAGATATTTGTTTTTCCACAGTAGGCCCCAAAGAGCTCCAAATATTCACTTGCAGATTCTACAAAAAGAGTGTTCCAAAACTGCTCCATCATGAAATAGGATCAACCCTGTGAGATGAATGTACGTATGACAGAGAAGTTTCTCAGAATGCTTCTGTGTAGTTTTTATGCGAAGATATTCGACTTTCCACAGTACGCCTCAAAGTTCTCCAATTATCCACTCGTAGATCCTGCAAAAAGAGAGATTCAAAACTGCTCAATCAAAAGATAGTTTCTACTCCATTAGCTGAAAGACCACATCACAAAAAAAGTTTCTCAGGATGCTTCTGTGTAGTTTTTATGTGAAGATATTTGGTTTTCCACAGTAGGCCTCAAAGCGCTCCAAATATCCACTCACAGATTCTGCAAAAAGAGAGATTCAAAACTGCTGAATCAAAAGACAGTTTCAACTCTGTGACTTCAGTGCACACCTCACAAGGATGTTTCTCAGAATGCTTCTGTGTAGTTTTTATATAAAGATATCTCCTTCTCCAAAATGGATCTCAAAGTTCTCCAAATATTCACTTCCAGATTCTATGGAAAGATTGTCTCAAAACTGCTCAATCAAACCAAAGGTTCAACTCTGTGAGATGAATGCCCACATCACAAAGAAGTTTCTCAGAGTACTTCTGTGTAGTTTCTATTTGAGGATAGTTCCTTTTCCACCACAGACCAGAAAGGGCTCCAAATATCCATTGCAGATGGTACAAAAAGTGAGATTCAAAACTGCTCAATCCAAAGGTAGTTTCAACCATGTGATATGAATGCACACAGCACAGAGAATTTTCTCAAAATGCGTCTGTCTAGTTTTTATTTGAAGATATTTCCTTTTCTACCATAGGCCACAAACGTCTCCAAATATCCACATGCAGCTTCTACAAAAAGAGAGATTCAAAACTTCTCAATCAAAAGATAGGTTCAACTCTGTGAGTTGAAAGCACACCTCACAAAGAAGTTTCTCAGAGTGCTTCTGTGTGTTTTTATGTGAAGATATTTCCTTTTCCACAATAGGCCTCAAAGCTCTCCAAATATCTGCGAGCAGAGTCTACAAAATGAGAGATTCAAAACTGCTCAATGAAAAGATAGGTTCAACTCTGTGAGTTGAATGCACACCTCCAAAGAAGTTTCTCAGAATGCTTCCGTGTAGTTTTTATGTGAAGATATTTACTTTTCCACAGTTGTCCCAAAGCTCTAAAATATCCACTTGCAGACCCTCCAAAAGAGTGTTTCAGAATTGCTCAATCAAAGGGAAGGTTCAATTCTGTGTGACCAATGCACTCATCACAAAGAAGTTTGTCTGAATGCTTCTGTGTAGAATTGATTTGAAGATAATTCCTTTTCCACCACAGTCCGCAAAGGGCTAAAAATATCCACTTGCCGATTCCACAAAAAGAGAGATTCAAAACTGCTCAATCACAAGATAGGTTCAACTTGGTAATTGGAAAGCACACATGACATACAATTTCTGAGAATGTTTCTGTGTAGTTTTTAAGGGAAGATATTTGATTTTCAAATGTAGGCCTCAAATCGCTCCAAATATCCACTTGCATATTGTACAAAAAGAGAGATTCAAAACTGGTCACTCAAAAGTTAGGTCCAGCTCTGTGAGCTGAATGCACACATCACAAAGATGTTTCTCAGAAGGTTTCTGTATAGTTTCTATATGAAGATATTTGCTTTTCCACAATATGCCTCAAATCTCCCCAATTATCCACTTGCAGATTCTAGAAAAAGAGTGTTTCAAAACAGCTCAATCAAAATAAACTTTCAACTCTGTGAGATCAATGCACACATCACAAAGAAGTTTCTCAGAATGCTTCTGTGTAGTTTTTTTTGTGAAGATATTTGATTTTCCACAGCAGGCTTCCAAGCACTCCAAATATCCACTCGCAGATTCTGCAAAAAGAGAGATTCAAATCTGCTGAATCAAAAGATAGGTTTAACTCTGTGACTTCAATGCACACCTCACAAGGGTGTTTCTCAGAAAGCTTCTGTGTAGTTTTTATATGAAGATATCTCCTTCTCCAAAGCAGGTCTCAAAGCCCTCCAAATATTCACTTCAAGATTCTACGGAAAGATTGTCTCAACACTGCTAAATCTAAACAAATGTTCAACTCTGTGTGATGAATGCACTCATCACAGAGAAGTTTCTCTGAATGCCTCTGTGTAGTTTTTATTTGAAGATATTTGCTTTTCCAGTATAGGGCGAAATAGGGCTCCAAATATTCACTTGCAGATTCTACAAAAGGAGAGATTCCAAACTGCTCAATCAAAACATAGGTTCAACACTGTGAGTTGAATGCACACATCACAAAGAAGTTTCACAGAGTGCTTCTGGGTAGTTTTTATTTGAGGATATTTCCCTTTCCACAATAGGCCTCAAAGCTTTCCAAATATCCACTTGCAGATTCTGCAAAAAGAGAGATACAAAACTGCTCTATCAAAAGATAGATTCGACTCTGTGAGTTGAATGCCAACATCGCAAAGAAGTTTCTCAGAATGCTTCTCTGCAGCTTTTTTGTGAGTATGTTTCGTTTTCCACCATAGGGCGAAATGGGGCTCCAAATATCCACTTGCATTTCCTACAAAAAGAGAGATTCTAAGCTGCTCAATCAAAACATTGTTTCAACACGGTTAGTTGAATGCACACATCCCAAAGACGTTTTTCAGAGTGCTTCTGTGTGGTTTTTATGTGAAGATACTTCCTTTTCCACAATAGGCCTCAAATCTCTGTAAATATCCACTTGCAGACTCTACAAAGAGTGTTTTCAAACTGCTCAATCATAAGATAGGTTCAACTCCGATAGTTGAATGCACACATCACAAAGAAGTTTCTCAGAAAGCTTCTGTGTAGTTTTTGATGAAGATATCTTCTTCTCTAAAACAGAACTCCAAGCCCTCCAAATATTCACTTCAAGATTCTACGGAAAGATTGTCTCAAACTGCTAAATCAAAACAAAGGTTCAACTCTGTGTGATGAATGCATTCATCACAAAGAAGTTTCTCTGAGTGCTTCTGTGCAGTTTTATTTGAAGATAATTGCTTTTCCAGTATAGGGCGAAATAGGGCTCCAAATATTCACTTGCAGATTCTACAGAAAGAGAGATTCCAAACTGCTCAATCAAAACATAGGTTCAACACTGTGAGTTGAATGCATACATCGCAAAGAAGTTTCACAGAGTACTTCTGGGTGGTTTTTATTTGAAGATATTTCCCTTTCCACAATAGGCCTCAAAGCTTTCCAAATGTCCACTTGCAGATTCCACCAAAAGAGTGTTTCGAAACTGCTCAATCAAAAGAAAGGTTCTACTCTGTGGGATGAATGCACACATCACAAAGTAGTTTCTCAGAATGCTTCTGTGTAGTTTTTATGTGAAGATATTTGTTTTTCCACAGTAGGCCCCAAGGAGCTCCAAATATTCACTTGCAGATTCTACAAAAAGAGTGTTCCAAAACTGCTCAATCATGAAATAGGATCAACCCTGTGAGATGAATGTACGTATGACAGAGAAGTTTCTCAGAATGCTTCTGTGTAGTTTTTATGCGAAGATATTCGATTTTCCACAGTACGCCTCAAAGTTCTCCAATTATCCACTCGTAGATTCTGCAAAAAGAGAGATTCAAAACTGCTCAATCAAAAGATAGTTTCTACTCCATTAGCTGAAAGACCACATCACAAAAAAAGTTTCTCAGGATGCTTCTGTGTAGTTTTTATGTGAAGATATTTGGTTTTCCACAGTAGGCCTCAAAGCGCTCCAAATATCCACTCACAGATTCTGCAAAAAGAGAGATTCAAAACTGCTGAATCAAAAGACAGTTTCAACTCTGTGACTTCAGTGCACACCTCACAAGGATGTTTCTCAGAATGCTTCTGTGTAGTTTTCATATAAAGGTATCTCCTTCTCCAAAATGGATCTCAAAGTTCTCCAAATATTCACTTCCAGATTCTATGGAAAGATTGTCTCAAAACTGCTCAATCAAACCAAAGGTTCAACTCTGTGAGATGAATGCCCACATCACAAAGAAGTTTCTCAGAGTACTTCTGTGTAGTTTCTATTTGAGGATAGTTCCTTTTCCACCACAGACCAGAAAGGGCTCCAAATATCCATTGCAGATGGTACAAAAAGTGAGATTCAAAACTGCTCAATCCAAAGGTAGTTTCAACCATGTGATATGAATGCACACAGCACAGAGAATTTTCTCAAAATGCGTCTGTCTAGTTTTTATTTGAAGATATTTCCTTTTCTACCATAGGCCACAAACGTCTCCAAATATCCACATGCAGCTTCTACAAAAAGAGAGATTCAAAACTTCTCAATCAAAAGATAGGTTCAACTCTGTGAGTTGAAAGCACACCTCACAGAGAAGTTTCTCAGAGTGCTTCTGTGTGTTTTTATGTGAAGATATTTCCTTTTCCACAATAGGCCTCAAAGCTCTCCAAATATCTGCGAGCAGAGTCTACAAAATGAGAGATTCAAAACTGCTCAATGAAAAGATAGGTTCAACTCTGTGAGTTGAATGCACACCTCCAAAGAAGTTTCTCAGAATGCTTCCGTGTAGTTTTTATGTGAAGATATTTACTTTTCCACAGTTGTCCCAAAGCTCTAAAATGTCCACTTGCAGACCCTCCAAAAGAGTGTTTCAGAATTGCTCAATCAAAGGGAAGGTTCAATTCTGTGTGACCAATGCACTCATCACAAAGAAGTTTGTCTGAATGCTTCTGTGTAGAATTGATTTGAAGATAATTCCTTTTCCACCACAGTCCGCAAAGGGCTAAAAATATCCACTTGCCGATTCCACAAAAAGAGAGATTCAAAACTGCTCAATCACAAGATAGGTTCAACTTGGTAATTGGAAAGCACACATGACAAACAATTTCTGAGAATGTTTCTGTGTAGTTTTTAAGGGAAGATATTTGATTTTCAAATGTAGGCCTCAAATCGCTCCAAATATCCACTTGCATATTGTACAAAAAGAGAGATTCAAAACTGGTCACTCAAAAGTTAGGTCCAGCTCTGTGAGCTGAATGCACACATCACAAAGATGTTTCTCAGAAGGTTTTCTGTATAGTTTCTATATGAAGATATTTGCTTTTCCACAATATGCCTCAAATCTCCCCAATTATCCACTTGCAGATTCTAGAAAAAGAGTGTTTCAAAACAGCTCAATCCAAATAAACTTTCAACTCTGTGAGATCAATGCACACATCACAAAGAAGTTTCTCAGAATGCTTCTGTGTAGTTTTTTTTGTGAAGATATTTGATTTTCCACAGCAGGCTTCCAAGCACTCCAAATATCCACTCGCAGATTCTGCAAAAAGAGAGATTCAAATCTGCTGAATCAAAAGATAGGTTTAACTCTGTGACTTCAATGCACACCTCACAAGGGTGTTTCTCAGAAAGCTTCTGTGTAGTTTTTATATGAAGATATCTCCTTCTCCAAAGCAGGTCTCAAAGCCCTCCAAATATTCACTTCAAGATTCTACGGAAAGATGGTCTCAACACTGCTAAATCTAAACAAATGTTCAACTCTGTGTGATGAATGCACTCATCACAGAGAAGTTTCTCTGAATGCCTCTGTGTAGTTTTTATTTGAAGATATTTGCTTTTCCAGTATAGGGCGAAATAGGGCTCCAAATATTCACTTGCAGATTCTACAAAAGGAGAGATTCCAAACTGCTCAATCAAAACATAGGTTCAACACTGTGAGTTGAATGCACACATCACAAAGAAGTTTCACAGAGTGCTTCTGGGTAGTTTTTATTTGAGGATATTTCCCTTTCCACAATAGGCCTCAAAGCTTTCCAAATATCCACTTGCAGATTCTGCAAAAAGAGAGATACAAAACTGCTCTATCAAAAGATAGATTCGACTCTGTGAGTTGAATGCCAACATCGCAAAGAAGTTTCTCAGAATGCTTCTCTGCAGCTTTTTTGTGAGTATGTTTCGTTTTCCACCATAGGGCGAAATGGGGCTCCAAATATCCACTTGCATTTCCTACAAAAAGAGAGATTCTAAGCTGCTCAATCAAAACATTGTTTCAACACGGTTAGTTGAATGCACACATCCCAAAGATGTTTTTCAGAGTGCTTCTGTGTGGTTTTTATGTGAAGATACTTCCTTTTCCACAATAGGCCTCAAATCTCTGTAAATATCCACTTGCAGACTCTACAAAGAGTGTTTCCAAACTGCTCAATCATAAGATAGGTTCAACTCCGATAGTTGAATGCACACATCACAAAGAAGTTTCTCAGAAAGCTTCTGTGTAGTTTTTGATGAAGATATCTCCTTCTCTAAAACAGAACTCCAAGCCCTCCAAATATTCACTTCAAGATTCTACGGAAAGATTGTCTCAAAACTCCTAAATCAAAACAAAGTTTCAACTCTGTGTCATGAATGCATTCATCTCAAAGAAGTTTCTCTGAATGCTTCTGTGCAGTTTTTATTTGAAGATAATTGCTTTTCCAGTATAGGGCGAAATAGGGCTCCAAATATTCACTTGCAGATTCTACAGAAAGAGAGATTCCAAACTGCTCAATCAAAACATAGGTTCAACACTGTGAGTTGAATGCATACATCGCAAAGAAGTTTCACAGAGTACTTCTGGGTGGTTTTTATTTGAAGATATTTCCCTTTCCACAATAGGCCTCAAAGCTTTCCAAATGTCCACTTGCAGATTCCACCAAAAGAGTGTTTCGAAACTGCTCAATCAAAAGAAAGGTTCTACTCTGTGGGATGAATGCACACATCACAAAGTAGTTTCTCAGAATGCTTCTGTGTAGTTTTTATGTGAAGATATTTGTTTTTCCACAGTAGGCCCCAAGGAGCTCCAAATATTCACTTGCAGATTCTACAAAAAGAGTGTTCCAAAACTGCTCAATCATGAAATAGGATCAACCCTGTGAGATGAATGTACGTATGACAGAGAAGTTTCTCAGAATGCTTCTGTGTAGTTTTTATGCGAAGATATTCGATTTTCCACAGTACGCCTCAAAGTTCTCCAATTATCCACTCGTAGATTCTGTAAAAAGAGAGATTCAAAACTGCTCAATCAAAAGATAGTTTCTACTCCATTAGCTGAAAGACCACATCACAAAAAAAGTTTCTCAGGATGCTTCTGTGTAGTTTTTATGTGAAGATATTTGGTTTTCCACAGTAGGCCTCAAAGCGCTCCAAATATCCACTCACAGATTCTGCAAAAAGAGAGATTCAAAACTGCTGAATCAAAAGACAGTTTCAACTCTGTGACTTCAGTGCACACCTCACAAGGATGTTTCTCAGAATGCTTCTGTGTAGTTTTCATATAAAGATATCTCCTTCTCCAAAATGGATCTCAAAGTTCTCCAAATATTCACTTCCAGATTCTATGGAAAGATTGTCTCAAAACTGCTCAATCAAACCAAAGGTTCAACTCTGTGAGATGAATGCCCACATCACAAAGAAGTTTCTCAGAGTACTTCTGTGTAGTTTCTATTTGAGGATAGTTCCTTTTCCACCACAGACCAGAAAGGGCTCCAAATATCCATTGCAGATGGTACAAAAAGTGAGATTCAAAACTGCTCAATCCAAAGGTAGTTTCAACCATGTGATATGAATGCACACAGCACAGAGAATTTTCTCAAAATGCGTCTGTCTAGTTTTTATTTGAAGATATTTCCTTTTCTACCATAGGCCACAAACGTCTCCAAATATCCACATGCAGCTTCTACAAAAAGAGAGATTCAAAACTTCTCAATCAAAAGATAGGTTCAACTCTGTGAGTTGAAAGCACACCTCACAAAGAAGTTTCTCAGAGTGCTTCTGTGTGTTTTTATGTGAAGATATTTCCTTTTCCACAATAGGCCTCAAAGCTCTCCAAATATCTGCGAGCAGAGTCTACAAAATGAGAGATTCAAAACTGCTCAATGAAAAGATAGGTTCAACTCTGTGAGTTGAATGCACACCTCCAAAGAAGTTTCTCAGAATGCTTCCGTGTAGTTTTTATGTGAAGATATTTACTTTTCCACAGTTGTCCCAAAGCTCTAAAATATCCACTTGCAGACCCTCCAAAAGAGTGTTTCAGAATTGCTCAATCAAAGGGAAGGTTCAATTCTGTGTGACCAATGCACTCATCACAAAGAAGTTTGTCTGAATGCTTCTGTGTAGAATTGATTTGAAGATAATTCCTTTTCCACCACAGTCCGCAAAGGGCTAAAAATATCCACTTGCCGATTCCACAAAAAGAGAGATTCAAAACTGCTCAATCACAAGATAGGTTCAACTTGGTAATTGGAAAGCACACATGACAAACAATTTCTGAGAATGTTTCTGTGTAGTTTTTAAGGGAAGATATTTGATTTTCAAATGTAGGCCTCAAATCGCTCCAAATATCCACTTGCATATTGTACAAAAAGAGAGATTCAAAACTGGTCTCTCAAAAGTTAGGTCCAGCTCTGTGAGCTGAAAGCACACATCACAAAGATGTTTCTCAGAAGGTTTCTGTATAGTTTTTATATGAAGATATTTGCTTTTCCACAATATGCCTCAAATCTCCCCAATTATGCACTTGCAGATTCTAGAAAAAGAGTGTTTCAAAACAGCTCAATCAAAATAAACTTTCAACTCTGTGAGATCAATGCACACATCACAAAGAAGTTTCTCAGAATGCTTCTGTGTAGTTTTTTTTGTGAAGATATTTGATTTTCCACAGCAGGCTTCCAAGCACTCCAAATATCCACTCGCAGATTCTGCAAAAAGAGAGATTCAAATCTGCTGAATCAAAAGATAGGTTTAACTCTGTGACTTCAATGCACACCTCACAAGGGTGTTTCTCAGAAAGCTTCTGTGTAGTTTTTATATGAAGATATCTCCTTCTCCAAAGCAGGTCTCAAAGCCCTCCAAATATTCACTTCAAGATTCTACGGAAAGATTGTCTCAACACTGCTAAATCTAAACAAATGTTCAACTCTGTGTGATGAATGCACTCATCACAGAGAAGTTTCTCTGAATGCCTCTGTGTAGTTTTTATTTGAAGATATTTGCTTTTCCAGTATAGGGCGAAATAGGGCTCCAAATATTCACTTGCAGATTCTACAAAAGGAGAGATTCCAAACTGCTCAATCAAAACATAGGTTCAACACTGTGAGTTGAATGCACACATCACAAAGAAGTTTCACAGAGTGCTTCTGGGTAGTTTTTATTTGAGGATATTTCCCTTTCCACAATAGGCCTCAAAGCTTTCCAAATATCCACTTGCAGATTCTGCAAAAAGAGAGATACAAAACTGCTCTATCAAAAGATAGATTCGACTCTGTGAGTTGAATGCCAACATCGCAAAGAAGTTTCTCAGAATGCTTCTCTGCAGCTTTTTTGTGAGTATGTTTCGTTTTCCACCATAGGGCGAAATGGGGCTCCAAATATCCACTTGCATTTCCTACAAAAAGAGAGATTCTAAGCTGCTCAATCAAAACATTGTTTCAACACGGTTAGTTGAATGCACACATCCCAAAGATGTTTTTCAGAGTGCTTCTGTGTGGTTTTTATGTGAAGATACTTCCTTTTCCACAATAGGCCTCAAATCTCTGTAAATATCCACTTGCAGACTCTACAAAGAGTGTTTCCAAACTGCTCAATCATAAGATAGGTTCAACTCCGATAGTTGAATGCACACATCACAAAGAAGTTTCTCAGAAAGCTTCTGTGTAGTTTTTGATGAAGATATCTTCTTCTCTAAAACAGAACTCCAAGCCCTCCAAATATTCACTTCAAGATTCTACGGAAAGATTGTCTCAAAACTCCTAAATCAAAACAAAGTTTCAACTCTGTGTCATGAATGCATTCATCTCAAAGAAGTTTCTCTGAGTGCTTCTGTGCAGTTTTTATTTGAAGATAATTGCTTTTCCAGTGTAGGGCGAAATAGGGCTCCAGATATTCACTTGCAGATTCTACAGAAAGAGAGATTCCAAACTGCTCAATCAAAACATAGGTTCAACACTGTGAGTTGAATGCATACATCGCAAAGAAGTTTCACAGAGTACTTCTGGGTGGTTTTTATTTGAAGATATTTCCCTTTCCACAATAGGCCTCAAAGCTTTCCAAATGTCCACTTGCAGATTCCACCAAAAGAGTGTTTCGAAACTGCTCAATCAAAAGAAAGGTTCTACTCTGTGGGATGAATGCACACATCACAAAGTAGTTTCTCAGAATGCTTCTGTGTAGTTTTTATGTGAAGATATTTGTTTTTCCACAGTAGGCCCCAAGGAGCTCCAAATATTCACTTGCAGATTCTACAAAAAGAGTGTTCCAAAACTGCTCAATCATGAAATAGGATCAACCCTGTGAGATGAATGTACGTATGACAGAGAAGTTTCTCAGAATGCTTCTGTGTAGTTTTTATGCGAAGATATTCGATTTTCCACAGTACGCCTCAAAGTTCTCCAATTATCCACTCGTAGATTCTGCAAAAAGAGAGATTCAAAACTGCTCAATCAAAAGATAGTTTCTACTCCATTAGCTGAAAGACCACATCACAAAAAAAGTTTCTCAGGATGCTTCTGTGTAGTTTTTATGTGAAGATATTTGGTTTTCCACAGTAGGCCTCAAAGCGCTCCAAATATCCACTCACAGATTCTGCAAAAAGAGAGATTCAAAACTGCTGAATCAAAAGACAGTTTCAACTCTGTGACTTCAGTGCACACCTCACAAGGATGTTTCTCAGAATGCTTCTGTGTAGTTTTCATATAAAGATATCTCCTTCTCCAAAATGGATCTCAAAGTTCTCCAAATATTCACTTCCAGATTCTATGGAAAGATTGTCTCAAAACTGCTCAATCAAACCAAAGGTTCAACTCTGTGAGATGAATGCCCACATCACAAAGAAGTTTCTCAGAGTACTTCTGTGTAGTTTCTATTTGAGGATAGTTCCTTTTCCACCACAGACCAGAAAGGGCTCCAAATATCCATTGCAGATGGTACAAAAAGTGAGATTCAAAACTGCTCAATCCAAAGGTAGTTTCAACCATGTGATATGAATGCACACAGCACAGAGAATTTTCTCAAAATGCGTCTGTCTAGTTTTTATTTGAAGATATTTCCTTTTCTACCATAGGCCACAAACGTCTCCAAATATCCACATGCAGCTTCTACAAAAAGAGAGATTCAAAACTTCTCAATCAAAAGATAGGTTCAACTCTGTGAGTTGAAAGCACACCTCACAAAGAAGTTTCTCAGAGTGCTTCTGTGTGTTTTTATGTGAAGATATTTCCTTTTCCACAATAGGCCTCAAAGCTCTCCAAATATCTGCGAGCAGAGTCTACAAAATGAGAGATTCAAAACTGCTCAATGAAAAGATAGGTTCAACTCTGTGAGTTGAATGCACACCTCCAAAGAAGTTTCTCAGAATGCTTCCGTGTAGTTTTTATGTGAAGATATTTACTTTTCCACAGTTGTCCCAAAGCTCTAAAATATCCACTTGCAGACCCTCCAAAAGAGTGTTTCAGAATTGCTCAATCAAAGGGAAGGTTCAATTCTGTGTGACCAATGCACTCATCACAAAGAAGTTTGTCTGAATGCTTCTGTGTAGAATTGATTTGAAGATAATTCCTTTTCCACCACAGTCCGCAAAGGGCTAAAAATATCCACTTGCCGATTCCACAAAAAGAGAGATTCAAAACTGCTCAATCACAAGATAGGTTCAACTTGGTAATTGGAAAGCACACATGACAAACAATTTCTGAGAATGTTTCTGTGTAGTTTTTAAGGGAAGATATTTGATTTTCAAATGTAGGCCTCAAATCGCTCCAAATATCCACTTGCATATTGTACAAAAAGAGAGATTCAAAACTGGTCACTCAAAAGTTAGGTCCAGCTCTGTGAGCTGAATGCACACATCACAAAGATGTTTCTCAGAAGGTTTCTGTATAGTTTTTATATGAAGATATTGGCTTTTCCACAATATGCCTCAAATCTCCCCAATTATCCACTTGCAGATTCTAGAAAAAGAGTGTTTCAAAACAGCTCAATCAAAATAAACTTTCAACTCTGTGAGATCAATGCACACATCACAAAGAAGTTTCTCAGAATGCTTCTGTGTAGTTTTTTTTGTGAAGATATTTGATTTTCCACAGCAGGCTTCCAAGCACTCCAAATATCCACTCGCAGATTCTGCAAAAAGAGAGATTCAAATCTGCTGAATCAAAAGATAGGTTTAACTCTGTGACTTCAATGCACACCTCACAAGGGTGTTTCTCAGAAAGCTTCTGTGTAGTTTTTATATGAAGATATCTCCTTCTCCAAAGCAGGTCTCAAAGCCCTCCAAATATTCACTTCAAGATTCTACGGAAAGATTGTCTCAACACTGCTAAATCTAAACAAATGTTCAACTCTGTGTGATGAATGCACTCATCACAGAGAAGTTTCTCTGAATGCCTCTGTGTAGTTTTTATTTGAAGATATTTGCTTTTCCAGTATAGGGCGAAATAGGGCTCCAAATATTCACTTGCAGATTCTACAAAAGGAGAGATTCCAAACTGCTCAATCAAAACATAGGTTCAACACTGTGAGTTGAATGCACACATCACAAAGAAGTTTCACAGAGTGCTTCTGGGTAGTTTTTATTTGAGGATATTTCCCTTTCCACAATAGGCCTCAAAGCTTTCCAAATATCCACTTGCAGATTCTGCAAAAAGAGAGATACAAAACTGCTCTATCAAAAGATAGATTCGACTCTGTGAGTTGAATGCCAACATCGCAAAGAAGTTTCTCAGAATGCTTCTCTGCAGCTTTTTTGTGAGTATGTTTCGTTTTCCACCATAGGGCGAAATGGGGCTCCAAATATCCACTTGCATTTCCTACAAAAGGAGAGATTCTAAGCTGCTCAATCAAAACATTGTTTCAACACGGTTAGTTGAATGCACACATCCCAAAGATGTTTTTCAGAGTGCTTCTGTGTGGTTTTTATGTGAAGATACTTCCTTTTCCACAATAGGCCTCAAATCTCTGTAAATATCCACTTGCAGACTCTACAAAGAGTGTTTCCAAACTGCTCAATCATAAGATAGGTTCAACTCCGATAGTTGAATGCACACATCACAAAGAAGTTTCTCAGAAAGCTTCTGTGTAGTTTTTGATGAAGATATCTCCTTCTCTAAAACAGAACTCCAAGCCCTCCAAATATTCACTTCAAGATTCTACGGAAAGATTGTCTCAAAACTCCTAAATCAAAACAAAGTTTCAACTCTGTGTCATGAATGCATTCATCTCAAAGAAGTTTCTCTGAATGCTTCTGTGCAGTTTTTATTTGAAGATAATTGCTTTTCCAGTATAGGGCGAAATAGGGCTCCAAATATTCACTTGCAGATTCTACAGAAAGAGAGATTCCAAACTGCTCAATCAAAACATAGGTTCAACACTGTGAGTTGAATG
The DNA here is from genome assembly GCF_000001405.40 of Homo sapiens. NCBI lineage: Eukaryota > Metazoa > Chordata > Mammalia > Primates > Hominidae > Homo > Homo sapiens. Next base: position 17,654,457 of record NC_000015.10, on the reverse strand, counting down.
CATACATCGCAAAGAAGTTTCACAGAGTACTTCTGGGTGGTTTTTATTTGAAGATATTTCCCTTTCCACAATAGGCCTCAAAGCTTTCCAAATGTCCACTTGCAGATTCCACCAAAAGAGTGTTTCAAAACTGCTCAATCAAAAGAAAGGTTCTACTCTGTGGGATGAATGCACACATCACAAAGTAGTTTCTCAGAATGCTTCTGTGTAGTTTTTATGTGAAGATATTTGTTTTTCCACAGTAGGCCCCAAAGAGCTCCAAATATTCACTTGCAGATTCTACAAAAAGAGTGTTCCAAAACTGCTCAATCATGAAATAGGATCAACCCTGTGAGATGAATGTACGTATGACAGAGAAGTTTCTCAGAATGCTTCTGTGTAGTTTTTATGCGAAGATATTCGATTTTCCACAGTACGCCTCAAAGTTCTCCAATTATCCACTCGTAGATCCTGCAAAAAGAGAGATTCAAAACTGCTCAATCAAAAGATAGTTTCTACTCCATTAGCTGAAAGACCACATCACAAAAAAAGTTTCTCAGGATGCTTCTGTGTAGTTTTTATGTGAAGATATTTGGTTTTCCACAGTAGGCCTCAAAGCGCTCCAAATATCCACTCACAGATTCTGCAAAAAGAGAGATTCAAAACTGCTGAATCAAAAGACAGTTTCAACTCTGTGACTTCAGTGCACACCTCACAAGGATGTTTCTCAGAATGCTTCTGTGTAGTTTTTATATAAAGATATCTCCTTCTCCAAAATGGATCTCAAAGTTCTCCAAATATTCACTTCCAGATTCTATGGAAAGATTGTCTCAAAACTGCTCAATCAAACCAAAGGTTCAACTCTGTGAGATGAATGCACACATCACAAAGAAGTTTCTCAGAGTACTTCTGTGTAGTTTCTATTTGAGGATAGTTCCTTTTCCACCACAGACCAGAAAGGGCTCCAAATATCCATTGCAGATGGTACAAAAAGTGAGATTCAAAACTGCTCAATCCAAAGGTAGTTTCAACCATGTGATATGAATGCACACAGCACAGAGAATTTTCTCAAAATGCGTCTGTCTAGTTTTTATTTGAAGATATTTCCTTTTCTACCATAGGCCACAAACGTCTCCAAATATCCACATGCAGCTTCTACAAAAAGAGAGATTCAAAACTTCTCAATCAAAAGATAGGTTCAACTCTGTGAGTTGAAAGCACACCTCACAAAGAAGTTTCTCAGAGTGCTTCTGTGTGTTTTTATGTGAAGATATTTCCTTTTCCACAATAGGCCTCAAAGCTCTCCAAATATCTGCGAGCAGAGTCTACAAAATGAGAGATTCAAAACTGCTCAATGAAAAGATAGGTTCAACTCTGTGAGTTGAATGCACACCTCCAAAGAAGTTTCTCAGAATGCTTCCGTGCAGTTTTTATGTGAAGATATTTACTTTTCCACAGTTGTCCCAAAGCTCTAAAATGTCCACTTGCAGACCCTCCAAAAGAGTGTTTCAGAATTGCTCAATCAAAGGGAAGGTTCAATTCTGTGTGACCAATGCACTCATCACAAAGAAGTTTGTCTGAATGCTTCTGTGTAGAATTGATTTGAAGATAATTCCTTTTCCACCACAGTCCGCAAAGGGCTAAAAATATCCACTTGCCGATTCCACAAAAAGAGAGATTCAAAACTGCTCAATCACAAGATAGGTTCAACTTGGTAATTGGAAAGCACACATGACAAACAATTTCTGAGAATGTTTCTGTGTAGTTTTTAAGGGAAGATATTTGATTTTCAAATGTAGGCCTCAAATCGCTCCACTTGCATATTGTACAAAAAGAGAGATTCAAAACTGGTCACTCAAAAGTTAGGTCCAGCTCTGTGAGCTGAATGCACACATCACAAAGATGTTTCTCAGAAGGTTTCTGTATAGTTTCTATATGAAGATATTTGCTTTTCCACAATATGCCTCAAATCTCCCCAATTATCCACTTGCAGATTCTAGAAAAAGAGTGTTTCAAAACAGCTCAATCAAAATAAACTTTCAACTCTGTGAGATCAATGCACACATCACAAAGAAGTTTCTCAGAATGCTTCTGTGTAGTTTTTTTTGTGAAGATATTTGATTTTCCACAGCAGGCTTCCAAGCACTCCAAATATCCACTCGCAGATTCTGCAAAAAGAGAGATTCAAATCTGCTGAATCAAAAGATAGGTTTAACTCTGTGACTTCAATGCACACCTCACAAGGGTGTTTCTCAGAAAGCTTCTGTGTAGTTTTTATATGAAGATATCTCCTTCTCCAAAGCAGGTCTCAAAGCCCTCCAAATATTCACTTCAAGATTCTACGGAAAGATTGTCTCAACACTGCTAAATCTAAACAAATGTTCAACTCTGTGTGATGAATGCACTCATCACAGAGAAGTTTCTCTGAATGCCTCTGTGTAGTTTTTATTTGAAGATATTTGCTTTTCCAGTATAGGGCGAAATAGGGCTCCAAATATTCACTTGCAGATTCTACAAAAGGAGAGATTCCAAACTGCTCAATCAAAACATAGGTTCAACACTGTGAGTTGAATGCACACATCACAAAGAAGTTTCACAGAGTGCTTCTGGGTAGTTTTTATTTGAGGATATTTCCCTTTCCACAATAGGCCTCAAAGCTTTCCAAATATCCACTTGCAGATTCTGCAAAAAGAGAGATACAAAACTGCTCTATCAAAAGATAGATTCGACTCTGTGAGTTGAATGCCAACATCGCAAAGAAGTTTCTCAGAATGCTTCTCTGCAGCTTTTTTGTGAGTATGTTTCGTTTTCCACCATAGGGCGAAATGGGGCTCCAAATATCCACTTGCATTTCCTACAAAAAGAGAGATTCTAAGCTGCTCAATCAAAACATTGTTTCAACACGGTTAGTTGAATGCACACATCCCAAAGATGTTTTTCAGAGTGCTTCTGTGTGGTTTTTATGTGAAGATACTTCCTTTTCCACAATAGGCCTCAAATCTCTGTAAATATCCACTTGCAGACTCTACAAAGAGTGTTTCCAAACTGCTCAATCATAAGATAGGTTCAACTCCGATAGTTGAATGCACACATCACAAAGAAGTTTCTCAGAAAGCTTCTGTGTAGTTTTTGATGAAGATATCTCCTTCTCTAAAACAGAACTCCAAGCCCTCCAAATATTCACTTCAAGATTCTACGGAAAGATTGTCTCAAAACTCCTAAATCAAAACAAAGTTTCAACTCTGTGTCATGAATGCATTCATCTCAAAGAAGTTTCTCTGAATGCTTCTGTGCAGTTTTTATTTGAAGATAATTGCTTTTCCAGTATAGGGCGAAATAGGGCTCCAAATATTCACTTGCAGATTCTACAGAAAGAGAGATTCCAAACTGCTCAATCAAAACATAGGTTCAACACTGTGAGTTGAATGCATACATCGCAAAGAAGTTTCAAAGAGTACTTCTGGGTGGTTTTTATTTGAAGATATTTCCCTTTCCACAATAGGCCTCAAAGCTTTCCAAATGTCCACTTGCAGATTCCACCAAAAGAGTGTTTCGAAACTGCTCAATCAAAAGAAAGGTTCTACTCTGTGGGATGAATGCACACATCACAAAGTAGTTTCTCAGAATGCTTCTGTGTAGTTTTTATGTGAAGATATTTGTTTTTCCACAGTAGGCCCCAAGGAGCTCCAAATATTCACTTGCAGATTCTACAAAAAGAGTGTTCCAAAACTGCTCAATCATGAAATAGGATCAACCCTGTGAGATGAATGTACGTATGACAGAGAAGTTTCTCAGAATGCTTCTGTGTAGTTTTTATGCGAAGATATTCGATTTTCCACAGTACGCCTCAAAGTTCTCCAAATATCCACTCGTAGATTCTGCAAAAAGAGAGATTCAAAACTGCTCAATCAAAAGATAGTTTCTACTCCATTAGCTGAAAGACCACATCACAAAAAAAGTTTCTCAGGATGCTTCTGTGTAGTTTTTATGTGAAGATATTTGGTTTTCCACAGTAGGCCTCAAAGCGCTCCAAATATCCACTCACAGATTCTGCAAAAAGAGAGATTCAAAACTGCTGAATCAAAAGACAGTTTCAACTACTGTGACTTCAGTGCACACCTCACAAGGATGTTTCTCAGAATGCTTCTGTGTAGTTTTTATATAAAGATATCTCCTTCTCCAAAATGGATCTCAAAGTTCTCCGAATATTCACTTCCAGATTCTATGGAAAGATTGTCTCAAAACTGCTCAATCAAACCAAAGGTTCAACTCTGTGAGATGAATGCCCACATCACAAAGAAGTTTCTCAGAGTACTTCTGTGTAGTTTCTATTTGAGGATAGTTCCTTTTCCACCACAGACCAGAAAGGGCTCCAAATATCCATTGCAGATGGTACAAAAAGTGAGATTCAAAACTGCTCAATCCAAAGGTAGTTTCAACCATGTGATATGAATGCACACAGCACAGAGAATTTTCTCAAAATGCGTCTGTCTAGTTTTTATTTGAAGATATTTCCTTTTCTACCATAGGCCACAAACGTCTCCAAATATCCACATGCAGCTTCTACAAAAAGAGAGATTCAAAACTTCTCAATCAAAAGATAGGTTCAACTCTGTGAGTTGAAAGCACACCTCACAAAGAAGTTTCTCAGAGTGCTTCTGTGTGTTTTTATGTGAAGATATTTCCTTTTCCACAATAGGCCTCAAAGCTCTCCAAATATCTGCGAGCAGAGTCTACAAAATGAGAGATTCAAAACTGCTCAATGAAAAGATAGGTTCAACTCTGTGAGTTGAATGCACACCTCCAAAGAAGTTTCTCAGAATGCTTCCGTGTAGTTTTTATGTGAAGATATTTACTTTTCCACAGTTGTCCCAAAGCTCTAAAATATCCACTTGCAGACCCTCCAAAAGAGTGTTTCAGAATTGCTCAATCAAAGGGAAGGTTCAATTCTGTGTGACCAATGCACTCATCACAAAGAAGTTTGTCTGAATGCTTCTGTGTAGAATTGATTTGAAGATAATTCCTTTTCCACCACAGTCCGCAAAGGGCTAAAAATATCCACTTGCCGATTCCACAAAAAGAGAGATTCAAAACTGCTCAATCACAAGATAGGTTCAACTTGGTAATTGGAAAGCACACATGACAAACAATTTCTGAGAATGTTTCTGTGTAGTTTTTAAGGGAAGATATTTGATTTTCAAATGTAGGCCTCAAATCGCTCCAAATATCCACTTGCATATTGTACAAAAAGAGAGATTCAAAACTGGTCACTCAAAAGTTAGGTCCAGCTCTGTGAGCTGAATGCACACATCACAAAGATGTTTCTCAGAAGGTTTCTGTATAGTTTCTATATGAAGATATTTGCTTTTCCACAATATGCCTCAAATCTCCCCAATTATCCACTTGCAGATTCTAGAAAAAGAGTGTTTCAAAACAGCTCAATCAAAATAAACTTTCAACTCTGTGAGATCAATGCACACATCACAAAGAAGTTTCTCAGAATGCTTCTGTGTAGTTTTTTTTGTGAAGATATTTGATTTTCCACAGCAGGCTTCCAAGCACTCCAAATATCCACTCGCAGATTCTGCAAAAAGAGAGATTCAAATCTGCTGAATCAAAAGATAGGTTTAACTCTGTGACTTCAATGCACACCTCACAAGGGTGTTTCTCAGAAAGCTTCTGTGTAGTTTTTATATGAAGATATCTCCTTCTCCAAAGCAGGTCTCAAAGCCCTCCAAATATTCACTTCAAGATTCTACGGAAAGATTGTCTCAACACTGCTAAATCTAAACAAATGTTCAACTCTGTGTGATGAATGCACTCATCACAGAGAAGTTTCTCTGAATGCCTCTGTGTAGTTTTTATTTGAAGATATTTGCTTTTCCAGTATAGGGCGAAATAGGGCTCCAAATATTCACTTGCAGATTCTACAAAAGGAGAGATTCCAAACTGCTCAATCAAAACATAGGTTCAACACTGTGAGTTGAATGCACACATCACAAGAAGTTTCACAGAGTGCTTCTGGGTAGTTTTTATTTGAGGATATTTCCCTTTCCACAATAGGCCTCAAAGCTTTCCAAATATCCACTTGCAGATTCTGCAAAAAGAGAGATACAAAACTGCTCTATCAAAAGATAGATTCGACTCTGTGAGTTGAATGCCAACATCGCAAAGAAGTTTCTCAGAATGCTTCTCTGCAGCTTTTTTGTGAGTATGTTTCGTTTTCCACCATAGGGCGAAATGGGGCTCCAAATATCCACTTGCATTTCCTACAAAAAGAGAGATTCTAAGCTGCTCAATCAAAACATTGTTTCAACACGGTTAGTTGAATGCACACATCCCAAAGATGTTTTTCAGAGTGCTTCTGTGTGGTTTTTATGTGAAGATACTTCCTTTTCCACAATAGGCCTCAAATCTCTGTAAATATCCACTTGCAGACTCTACAAAGAGTGTTTCCAAACTGCTCAATCATAAGATAGGTTCAACTCCGATAGTTGAATGCACACATCACAAAGAAGTTTCTCAGAAAGCTTCTGTGTAGTTTTTGATGAAGATATCTCCTTCTCTAAAACAGAACTCCAAGCCCTCCAAATATTCACTTCAAGATTCTACGGAAAGATTGTCTCAAAACTCCTAAATCAAAACAAAGTTTCAACTCTGTGTCATGAATGCATTCATCTCAAAGAACTTTCTCTGAATGCTTCTGTGCAGTTTTTATTTGAAGATAATTGCTTTTCCAGTATAGGGCGAAATAGGGCTCCAAATATTCACTTGCAGATTCTACAGAAAGAGAGATTCCAAACTGCTCAATCAAAACATAGGTTCAACACTGTGAGTTGAATGCATACATCGCAAAGAAGTTTCACAGAGTACTTCTGGGTGGTTTTTATTTGAAGATATTTCCCTTTCCACACTAGGCCTCAAAGCTTTCCAAATGTCCACTTGCAGATTCCACCAAAAGAGTGTTTCGAAACTGCTCAATCAAAAGAAAGGTTCTACTCTGTGGGATGAATGCACACATCACAAAGTAGTTTCTCAGAATGCTTCTGTGTAGTTTTTATGTGAAGATATTTGTTTTTCCACAGTAGGCCCCAAGGAGCTCCAAATATTCACTTGCAGATTCTACAAAAAGAGTGTTCCAAAACTGCTCAATCATGAAATAGGATCAACCCTGTGAGATGAATGTACGTATGACAGAGAAGTTTCTCAGAATGCTTCTGTGTAGTTTTTATGCGAAGATATTCGATTTTCCACAGTACGCCTCAAAGTTCTCCAATTATCCACTCGTAGATTCTGCAAAAAGAGAGATTCAAAACTGCTCAATCAAAAGATAGTTTCTACTCCATTAGCTGAAAGACCACATCACAAAAAAAGTTTCTCAGGATGCTTCTGTGTAGTTTTTATGTGAAGATATTTGGTTTTCCACAGTAGGCCTCAAAGCGCTCCAAATATCCACTCACAGATTCTGCAAAAAGAGAGATTCAAAACTGCTGAATCAAAAGACAGTTTCAACTCTGTGACTTCAGTGCACACCTCACAAGGATATTTCTCAGAATGCTTCTGTGTAGTTTTCATATAAAGATATCTCCTTCTCCAAAATGGATCTCAAAGTTCTCCAAATATTCACTTCCAGATTCTATGGAAAGATTGTCTCAAAACTGCTCAATCAAACCAAAGGTTCAACTCTGTGAGATGAATGCCCACATCACAAAGAAGTTTCTCAGAGTACTTCTGTGTAGTTTCTATTTGAGGATAGTTCCTTTTCCACCACAGACCAGAAAGGGCTCCAAATATCCATTGCAGATGGTACAAAAAGTGAGATTCAAAACTGCTCAATCCAAAGGTAGTTTCAACCATGTGATATGAATGCACACAGCACAGAGAATTTTCTCAAAATGCGTCTGTCTAGTTTTTATTTGAAGATATTTCCTTTTCTACCATAGGCCACAAACGTCTCCAAATATCCACATGCAGCTTCTACAAAAAGAGAGATTCAAAACTTCTCAATCAAAAGATAGGTTCAACTCTGTGAGTTGAAAGCACACCTCACAAAGAAGTTTCTCAGAGTGCTTCTGTGTGTTTTTATGTGAAGATATTTCCTTTTCCACAATAGGCCTCAAAGCTCTCCAAATATCTGCGAGCAGAGTCTACAAAATGAGAGATTCAAAACTGCTCAATGAAAAGATAGGTTCAACTCTGTGAGTTGAATGCACACCTCCAAAGAAGTTTCTCAGAATGCTTCCGTGTAGTTTTTATGTGAAGATATTTACTTTTCCACAGTTGTCCCAAAGCTCTAAAATATCCACTTGCAGACCCTCCAAAAGAGTGTTTCAGAATTGCTCAATCAAAGGGAAGGTTCAATTCTGTGTGACCAATGCACTCATCACAAAGAAGTTTGTCTGAATGCTTCTGTGTAGAATTGATTTGAAGATAATTCCTTTTCCACCACAGTCCGCAAAGGGCTAAAAATATCCACTTGCCGATTCCACAAAAAGAGAGATTCAAAACTGCTCAATCACAAGATAGGTTCAACTTGGTAATTGGAAAGCACACATGACAAACAATTTCTGAGAATGTTTCTGTGTAGTTTTTAAGGGAAGATATTTGATTTTCAAATGTAGGCCTCAAATCGCTCCAAATATCCACTTGCATATTGTACAGAAAGAGAGATTCAAAACTGGTCACTCAAAAGTTAGGTCCAGCTCTGTGAGCTGAATGCACACATCACAAAGATGTTTCTCAGAAGGTTTCTGTATAGTTTCTATATGAAGATATTTGCTTTTCCACAATATGCCTCAAATCTCCCCAATTATCCACTTGCAGATTCTAGAAAAAGAGTGTTTCAAAACAGCTCAATCCAAATAAACTTTCAACTCTGTGAGATCAATGCACACATCACAAAGAAGTTTCTCAGAATGCTTCTGTGTAGTTTTTTTTGTGAAGATATTTGATTTTCCACAGCAGGCTTCCAAGCACTCCAAATATCCACTCGCAGATTCTGCAAAAAGAGAGATTCAAATCTGCTGAATCAAAAGATAGGTTTAACTCTGTGACTTCAATGCACACCTCACAAGGGTGTTTCTCAGAAAGCTTCTGTGTAGTTTTTATATGAAGATATCTCCTTCTCCAAAGCAGGTCTCAAAGCCCTCCAAATATTCACTTCAAGATTCTACGGAAAGATTGTCTCAACACTGCTAAATCTAAACAAATGTTCAACTCTGTGTGATGAATGCACTCATACTCAGAGAAGTTTCTCTGAATGCCCTGTGTAGTTTTTATTTGAAGATATTTGCTTTTCCAGTATAGGGCGAAATAGGGCTCCAAATATTCACTTGCAGATTCTACAAAAGGAGAGATTCCAAACTGCTCAATCAAAACATAGGTTCAACACTGTGAGTTGAATGCACACATCACAAAGAAGTTTCACAGAGTGCTTCTGGGTAGTTTTTATTTGAGGATATTTCCCTTTCCACAATAGGCCTCAAAGCTTTCCAAATATCCACTTGCAGATTCTGCAAAAAGAGAGATACAAAACTGCTCTATCAAAAGATAGATTCGACTCTGTGAGTTGAATGCCAACATCGCAAAGAAGTTTCTCAGAATGCTTCTCTGCAGCTTTTTTGTGAGTATGTTTCGTTTTCCACCATAGGGCGAAATGGGGCTCCAAATATCCACTTGCATTTCCTACAAAAAGAGAGATTCTAAGCTGCTCAATCAAAACATTGTTTCAACACGGTTAGTTGAATGCACACATCCCAAAGATGTTTTTCAGAGTGCTTCTGTGTGGTTTTTATGTGAAGATACTTCCTTTTCCACAATAGGCCTCAAATCTCTGTAAATATCCACTTGCAGACTCTACAATGAGTGTTTCCACACTGCTCAATCATAAGATAGGTTCAACTCCGATAGTTGAATGCACACATCACAAAGAAGTTTCTCGGAAAGCTTCTGTGTAGTTTTTGATGAAGATATCTCCTTCTCTAAAACAGAACTCCAAGCCCTCCAAATATTCACTTCAAGATTCTACGGAAAGATTGTCTCAAAACTCCTAAATCAAAACAAAGTTTCAACTCTGTGTCATGAATGCATTCATCTCAAAGAAGTTTCTCTGAATGCTTCTGTGCAGTTTTTATTTGAAGATAATTGCTTTTCCAGTATAGGGCGAAATAGGGCTCCAAATATTCACTTGCAGATTCTACAGAAAGAGAGATTCCAAACTGCTCAATCAAAACATAGGTTCAACACTGTGAGTTGAATGCATACATCGCAAAGAAGTTTCACAGAGTACTTCTGGGTGGTTTTTATTTGAAGATATTTCCCTTTCCACAATAGGCCTCAAAGCTTTCCAAATGTCCACTTGCAGATTCCACCAAAAGAGTGTTTCGAAACTGCTCAATCAAAAGAAAGGTTCTACTCTGTGGGATGAATGCACACATCACAAAGTAGTTTCTCAGAATGCTTCTGTGTAGTTTTTATGTGAAGATATTTGTCTTTCCACAGTAGGCCCCAAAGAGCTCCAAATATTCACTTGCAGATTCTACAAAAAGAGTGTTCCAAAACTGCTCAATCATGAAATAGGATCAACCCTGTGAGATGAATGTACGTATGACAGAGAAGTTTCTCAGAATGCTTCTGTGTAGTTTTTATGCGAAGATATTCGATTTTCCACAGTACGCCTCAAAGTTCTCCAATTATCCACTCGTAGATCCTGCAAAAAGAGAGATTCAAAACTGCTCAATCAAAAGATAGTTTCTACTCCATTAGCTGAAAGACCACATCACAAAAAAAGTTTCTCAGGATGCTTCTGTGTAGTTTTTATGTGAAGATATTTGGTTTTCCACAGTAGGCCTCAAAGCGCTCCAAATATCCACTCACAGATTCTGCAAAAAGAGAGATTCAAAACTGCTGAATCAAAAGACAGTTTCAACTCTGTGACTTCAGTGCACACCTCACAAGGATGTTTCTCAGAATGCTCTGTGTAGTTTTCATATAAAGATATCTCCTTCTCCAAAATGGATCTCAAAGTTCTCCAAATATTCACTTCCAGATTCTATGGAAAGATTGTCTCAAAACTGCTCAATCAAACCAAAGGTTCAACTCTGTGAGATGAATGCCCACATCACAAAGAAGTTTCTCAGAGTACTTCTGTGTAGTTTCTATTTGAGGATAGTTCCTTTTCCACCACAGACCAGAAAGGGCTCCAAATATCCATTGCAGATGGTACAAAAAGTGAGATTCAAAACTGCTCAATCCAAAGGTAGTTTCAACCATGTGATATGAATGCACACAGCACAGAGAATTTTCTCAAAATGCGTCTGTCTAGTTTTTATTTGAAGATATTTCCTTTTCTACCATAGGCCACAAACGTTTCCAAATATCCACATGCAGCTTCTACAAAAAGAGAGATTCAAAACTTCTCAATCAAAAGATAGGTTCAAATCTGTGAGTTGAAAGCACACCTCACAAAGAAATTTCTCAGAGTGCTTCTGTGTGTTTTTATGTGAAGATATTTCCTTTTCCACAATAGGCCTCAAAGCTCTCCAAATATCTGCGAGCAGAGTCTACAAAATGAGAGATTCAAAACTGCTCAATGAAAAGATAGGTTCAACTCTTGTGAGTTGAATGCACACCTCCAAAGAAGTTTCTCAGAATGCTTCCGTGTAGTTTTTATGTGAAGATATTTACTTTTCCACAGTTGTCCCAAAGCTCTAAAATATCCACTTGCAGACCCTCCAAAAGAGTGTTTCAGAATTGCTCAATCAAAGGGAAGGTTCAATTCTGTGTGACCAATGCACTCATCACAAAGAAGTTTGTCTGAATGCTTCTGTGTAGAATTGATTTGAAGATAATTCCTTTTCCACCACAGTCCGCAAAGGGCTAAAAATATCCACTTGCCGATTCCACAAAAAGAGAGATTCAAAACTGCTCAATCACAAGATAGGTTCAACTTGGTAATTGGAAAGCACACATGACAAACAATTTCTGAGAATGTTTCTGTGTAGTTTTTAAGGGAAGATATTTGATTTTCAAATGTAGGCCTCAAATCGCTCCAAATATCCACTTGCATATTGTACAAAAAGAGAGATTCAAAACTGGTCACTCAAAAGTTAGGTCCAGCTCTGTGAGCTGAATGCACACATCACAAAGATGTTTCTCAGAAGGTTTCTGTATAGTTTCTATATGAAGATATTTGCTTTTCCACAATATGCCTCAAATCTCCCCAATTATCCACTTGCAGATTCTAGAAAAAGAGTGTTTCAAAACAGCTCAATACAAATAAACTTTCAACTCTGTGAGATCAATGCACACATCACAAAGAAGTTTCTCAGAATGCTTCTGTGTAGTTTTTTTTGTGAAGATATTTGATTTTCCACAGCAGGCTTCCAAGCACTCCAAATATCCACTCGCAGATTCTGCAAAAAGAGAGATTCAAATCTGCTGAATCAAAAGATAGGTTTAACTCTGTGACTTCAATGCACACCTCACAAGGGTGTTTCTCAGAAAGCTTCTGTGTAGTTTTTATATGAAGATATCTCCTTCTCCAAAGCAGGTCTCAAAGCCCTCCAAATATTCACTTCAAGATTCTACGGAAAGATTGTCTCAACACTGCTAAATCTAAACAAATGTTCAACTCTGTGTGATGAATGCACTCATCACAGAGAAGTTTCTCTGAAGGCCTCTGTGTAGTTTTTATTTGAAGATATTTGCTTTTCCAGTATAGGGCGAAATAGGGCTCCAAATATTCACTTGCAGATTCTACAAAAGGAGAGATTCCAAACTGCTCAATCAAAACATAGGTTCAACACTGTGAGTTGAATGCACACATCACAAAGAAGTTTCACAGAGTGCTTCTGGGTAGTTTTTATTTGAGGATATTTCCCTTTCCACAATAGGCCTCAAAGCTTTCCAAATATCCACTTGCAGATTCTGCAAAAAGAGAGATACAAAACTGCTCTATCAAAAGATAGATTCGACTCTGTGAGTTGAATGCCAACATCGCAAAGAAGTTTCTCAGAATGCTTCTCTGCAGCTTTTTTGTGAGTATGTTTCGTTTTCCACCATAGGGCGAAATGGGGCTCCAAATATCCACTTGCATTTCCTACAAAAAGAGAGATTCTAAGCTGCTCAATCAAAACATTGTTTCAACACGGTTAGTTGAATGCACACATCCCAAAGATGTTTTTCAGAGTGCTTCTGTGTGGTTTTTATGTGAAGATACTTCCTTTTCCACAATAGGCCTCAAATCTCTGTAAATATCCACTTGCAGACTCTACAAAGAGTGTTTCCAAACTGCTCAATCATAAGATAGGTTCAACTCCGATAGTTGAATGCACACATCACAAAGAAGTTTCTCAGAAAGCTTCTGTGTAGTTTTTGATGAAGATATCTCCTTCTCTAAAACAGAACTCCAAGCCCTCCAAATATTCACTTCAAGATTCTACGGAAAGATTGTCTCAAAACTCCTAAATCAAAACAAAGTTTCAACTCTGTGTCATGAATGCATTCATCTCAAAGAACTTTCTCTGAATGCTTCTGTGCAGTTTTTATTTGAAGATAATTGCTTTTCCAGTATAGGGCGAAATAGGGCTCCAAATATTCACTTGCAGATTCTACAGAAAGAGAGATTCCAAACTGCTCAATCAAAACATAGGTTCAACACTGTGAGTTGAATGCATACATCGCAAAGAAGTTTCACAGAGTACTTTCTGGGTGGTTTTTATTTGAAGATATTTCCCTTTCCACAATAGGCCTCAAAGCTTTCCAAATGTCCACTTGCAGATTCCACCAAAAGAGTGTTTCGAAACTGCTCAATCAAAAGAAAGGTTCTACTCTGTGGGATGAATGCACACATCACAAAGTAGTTTCTCAGAATGCTTCTGTGTAGTTTTTATGTGAAGATATTTGTTTTTCCACAGTAGGCCCCAAAGAGCTCCAAATATTCACTTGCAGATTCTACAAAAAGAGTGTTCCAAAACTGCTCCATCATGAAATAGGATCAACCCTGTGAGATGAATGTACGTATGACAGAGAAGTTTCTCAGAATGCTTCTGTGTAGTTTTTATGCGAAGATATTCGACTTTCCACAGTACGCCTCAAAGTTCTCCAATTAGCCACTCGTAGATCCTGCAAAAAGAGAGATTCAAAACTGCTCAATCAAAAGATAGTTTCTACTCCATTAGCTGAAAGACCACATCACAAAAAAAGTTTCTCAGGATGCTTCTGTGTAGTTTTTATGTGAAGATATTTGGTTTTCCACAGTAGGCCTCAAAGCGCTCCAAATATCCACTCACAGATTCTGCAAAAAGAGAGATTCAAAACTGCTGAATCAAAAGACAGTTTCAACTCTGTGACTTCAGTGCACACCTCACAAGGATGTTTCTCAGAATGCTTCTGTGTAGTTTTTATATAAAGATATCTCCTTCTCCAAAATGGATCTCAAAGTTCTCCAAATATTCACTTCCAGATTCTATGGAAAGATTGTCTCAAAACTGCTCAATCAAACCAAAGGTTCAACTCTGTGAGATGAATGCCCACATCACAAAGAAGTTTCTCAGAGTACTTCTGTGTAGTTTCTATTTGAGGATAGTTCCTTTTCCACCACAGACCAGAAAGGGCTCCAAATATCCATTGCAGATGGTACAAAAAGTGAGATTCAAAACTGCTCAATCCAAAGGTAGTTTCAACCATGTGATATGAATGCACACAGCACAGAGAATTTTCTCAAAATGCGTCTGTCTAGTTTTTATTTGAAGATATTTCCTTTTCTACCATAGGCCACAAACGTCTCCAAATATCCACATGCAGCTTCTACAAAAAGAGAGATTCAAAACTTCTCAATCAAAAGATAGGTTCAACTCTGTGAGTTGAAAGCACACCTCACAAAGAAGTTTCTCAGAGTGCTTCTGTGTGTTTTTATGTGAAGATATTTCCTTTTCCACAATAGGCCTCAAAGCTCTCCAAATATCTGCGAGCAGAGTCTACAAAATGAGAGATTCAAAACTGCTCAATGAAAAGATAGGTTCAACTCTGTGAGTTGAATGCACACCTCCAAAGAAGTTTCTCAGAATGCTTCCGTGTAGTTTTTATGTGAAGATATTTACTTTTCCACAGTTGTCCCAAAGCTCTAAAATATCCACTTGCAGACCCTCCAAAAGAGTGTTTCAGAATTGCTCAATCAAAGGGAAGGTTCAATTCTGTGTGACCAATGCACTCATCACAAAGAAGTTTGTCTGAATGCTTCTGTGTAGAATTGATTTGAAGATAATTCCTTTTCCACCACAGTCCGCAAAGGGCTAAAAATATCCACTTGCCGATTCCACAAAAAGAGAGATTCAAAACTGCTCAATCACAAGATAGGTTCAACTTGGTAATTGGAAAGCACACATGACAAACAATTTCTGAGAATGTTTCTGTGTAGTTTTTAAGGGAAGATATTTGATTTTCAAATGTAGGCCTCAAATCGCTCCAAATATCCATTTGCATATTGTACAAAAAGAGAGATTCAAAACTGGTCACTCAAAAGTTAGGTCCAGCTCTGTGAGCTGAATGCACACATCACAAAGATGTTTCTCAGAAGGTTTCTGTATAGTTTTTATATGAAGATATTTGCTTTTCCACAATATGCCTCAAATCTCCCCAATTATCCACTTGCAGATTCTAGAAAAAGAGTGTTTCAAAACAGCTCAATCAAAATAAACTTTCAACTCTGTGAGATCAATGCACACATCACAAAGAAGTTTCTCAGAATGCTTCTGTGTAGTTTTTTTGTGAAGATATTTGATTTTCCACAGCAGGCTTCCAAGCACTCCAAATATCCACTCGCAGATTCTGCAAAAAGAGAGATTCAAATCTGCTGAATCAAAAGATAGGTTTAACTCTGTGACTTCAATGCACACCTCACAAGGGTGTTTCTCAGAAAGCTTCTGTGTAGTTTTTATATGAAGATATCTCCTTCTCCAAAGCAGGTCTCAAAGCCCTCCAAATATTCACTTCAAGATTCTACGGAAAGATTGTCTCAACACTGCTAAATCTAAACAAATGTTCAACTCTGTGTGATGAATGCACTCATCACAGAGAAGTTTCTCTGAAGGCCTCTGTGTAGTTTTTATTTGAAGATATTTGCTTTTCCAGTATAGGGCGAAATAGGGCTCCAAATATTCACTTGCAGATTCTACAAAAGGAGAGATTCCAAACTGCTCAATCAAAACATAGTTTCAACACTGTGAGTTGAATGCACACATCACAAAGAAGTTTCACAGAGTGCTTCTGGGTAGTTTTTATTTGAGGATATTTCCCTTTCCACAATAGGCCTCAAAGCTTTCCAAATATCCACTTGCAGATTCTGCAAAAAGAGAGATACAAAACTGCTCTATCAAAAGATAGATTCGACTCTGTGAGTTGAATGCCAACATCGCAAAGAAGTTTCTCAGAATGCTTCTCTGCAGCTTTTTTGTGAGTATGTTTCGTTTTCCACCATAGGGCGAAATGGGGCTCCAAATATCCACTTGCATTTCCTACAAAAAGAGAGATTCTAAGCTGCTCAATCAAAACATTGTTTCAACACGGTTAGTTGAATGCACACATCCCAAAGATGTTTTTCAGAGTGCTTCTGTGTGGTTTTTATGTGAAGATACTTCCTTTTCCACAATAGGCCTCAAATCTCTGTAAATATCCACTTGCAGACTCTACAAAGAGTGTTTCCAAACTCCTCAATCATAAGATAGGTTCAACTCCGATAGTTGAATGCACACATCACAAAGAAGTTTCTCAGAAAGCTTCTGTGTAGTTTTTGATGAAGATATCTCCTTCTCTAAAACAGAACTCCAAGCCCTCCAAATATTCACTTCAAGATTCTACGGAAAGATTGTCTCAAAACTCCTAAATCAAAACAAAGTTTCAACTCTGTGTCATGAATGCATTCATCTCAAAGAACTTTCTCTGAATGCTTCTGTGCAGTTTTTATTTGAAGATAATTGCTTTTCCAGTATAGGGCGAAATAGGGCTCCAAATATTCACTTGCAGATTCTACAGAAAGAGAGATTCCAAACTGCTCAATCAAAACATAGGTTCAACACTGTGAGTTGAATGCATACATCGCAAAGAAGATTCACAGAGTACTTCTGGGTGGTTTTTATTTGAAGATATCTCCCTTTCCACAATAGGCCTCAAAGCTTTCCAAATGTCCACTTGCAGATTCCACCAAAAGCGTGTTTCGAAACTGCTCAATCAAAAGAAAGGTTCTATTCTGTGGGATGAATGCACACATCACAAAGTAGTTTCTCAGAATGCTTCTGTGTAGTTTTTATGTGAAGATATTTGTTTTTCCACAGTAGGCCCCAAAGAGCTCCAAATATTCACTTGCAGATTCTACAAAAAGAGTGTTCCAAAACTGCTCAATCATGAAATAGGATCAACCCTGTGAGATGAATGTACGTATGACAGAGAAGTTTCTCAGAATGCTTCTGTGTAGTTTTTATGCGAAGATATTCGATTTTCCACAGTACGCCTCAAAGTTCTCCAATTATCCACTCGTAGATTCTGCAAAAAGAGAGATTCAAAACTGCTCAATCAAAAGATAGTTTCTACTCCATTAGCTGAAAGACCACATCACAAAAAAAGTTTCTCAGGATGCTTCTGTGTAGTTTTTATGTGAACATATTTGGTTTTCCACAGTAGGCCTCAAAGCGCTCCAAATATCCGCTCACAGACTCTGCAAAAAGAGAGATTCAAAACTGCTGAATCAAAAGACAGTTTCAACTCTGTGACTTCAGTGCACACCTCACAAGGATGTTTCTCAGAATGCTTCTGTGTAGTTTTCATATAAAGATATCTCCTTCTCCAAAATGGATCTCAAAGTTCTCCAAATATTCACTTCCAGATTCTATGGAAAGATTGTCTCAAAACTGCTCAATCAAACCAAAGGTTCAACTCTGTGAGATGAATGCCCACATCACAAAGAAGTTTCTCAGAGTACTTCTGTGTAGTTTCTATTTGAGGATAGTTCCTTTTCCACCACAGACCAGAAAGGGCTCCAAATATCCATTGCAGATGGTACAAAAAGTGAGATTCAAAACTGCTCAATCCAAAGGTAGTTTCAACCATGTGATATGAATGCACACAGCACAGAGAATTTTCTCAAAATGCGTCTGTCTAGTTTTTATTTGAAGATATTTCCTTTTCTACCATAGGCCACAAACGTCTCCAAATATCCACATGCAGCTTCTACAAAAAGAGAGATTCAAAACTTCTCAATCAAAAGATAGGTTCAACTCTGTGAGTTGAAAGCACACCTCACAAAGAAGTTTCTCAGAGTGCTTCTGTGTGTTTTTATGTGAAGATATTTCCTTTTCCACAATAGGCCTCAAAGCTCTCCAAATATCTGCGAGCAGAGTCTACAAAATGAGAGATTCAAAACTGCTCAATGAAAAGATAGGTTCAACTCTGTGAGTTGAATGCACACCTCCAAAGAAGTTTCTCAGAATGCTTCCGTGTAGTTTTTATGTGAAGATATTTACTTTTCCACAGTTGTCCCAAAGCTCTAAAATATCCACTTGCAGACCCTCCAAAAGAGTGTTTCAGAATTGCTCAATCAAAGGGAAGGTTCAATTCTGTGTGACCAATGCACTCATCACAAAGAAGTTTGTCTGAATGCTTTCCTGTGTAGAATTGATTTGAAGATAATTCCTTTTCCACCACAGTCCGCAAAGGGCTAAAAATATCCACTTGCCGATTCCACAAAAAGAGAGATTCAAAACTGCTCAATCACAAGATAGGTTCAACTTGGTAATTGGAAAGCACACATGACAAACAATTTCTGAGAATGTTTCTGTGTAGTTTTTAAGGGAAGATATTTGATTTTCAAATGTAGGCCTCAAATCGCTCCAAATATCCACTTGCATATTGTACAAAAAGAGAGATTCAAAACTGGTCACTCAAAAGTTAGGTCCAGCTCTGTGAGCTGAATGCACACATCACAAAGATGTTTCTCAGAAGGTTTCTGTATAGTTTTTATATGAAGATATTTGCTTTTCCACAATATGCCTCAAATCTCCCCAATTATCCACTTGCAGATTCTAGAAAAAGAGTGTTTCAAAACAGCTCAATCAAAATAAACTTTCAACTCTGTGAGATCAATGCACACATCACAAAGAAGTTTCTCAGAATGCTTCTGTGTAGTTTTTTTTGTGAAGATATTTGATTTTCCACAGCAGGCTTCCAAGCACTCCAAATATCCACTCGCAGATTCTGCAAAAAGAGAGATTCAAATCTGCTGAATCAAAAGATAGGTTTAACTCTGTGACTTCAATGCACACCTCACAAGGGTGTTTCTCAGAAAGCTTCTGTGTAGTTTTTATATGAAGATATCTCCTTCTCCAAAGCAGGTCTCAAAGCCCTCCAAATATTCACTTCAAGATTCTACGGAAAGATTGTCTCAACACTGCTAAATCTAAACAAATGTTCAACTCTGTGTGATGAATGCACTCATCACAGAGTAGTTTCTCTGAATGCCTCTGTGTAGTTTTTATTTGAAGATATTTGCTTTTCCAGTATAGGGCGAAATAGGGCTCCAAATATTCACTTGCAGATTCTACAAAAGGAGAGATTCCAAACTGCTCAATCAAAACATAGGTTCAACACTGTGAGTTGAATGCACACATCACAAAGAAGTTTCACAGAGTGCTTCTGGGTAGTTTTTATTTGAGGATATTTCCCTTTCCACAATAGGCCTCAAAGCTTTCCAAATATCCACTTGCAGATTCTGCAAAAAGAGAGATACAAAACTGCTCTATCAAAAGATAGATTCGACTCTGTGAGTTGAATGCCAACATCGCAAAGAAGTTTCTCAGAATGCTTCTCTGCAGCTTTTTTGTGAGTATGTTTCGTTTTCCACCATAGGGCGAAATGGGGCTCCAAATATCCACTTGCATTTCCTACAAAAAGAGAGATTCTAAGCTGCTCAATCAAAACATTGTTTCAACACGGTTAGTTGAATGCACACATCCCAAAGATGATTTTCAGAGTGCTTCTGTGTGGTTTTTATGTGAAGATACTTCCTTTTCCACAATAGGCCTCAAATCTCTGTAAATATCCACTTGCAGACTCTACAAAGAGTGTTTCCAAACTCCTCAATCATAAGATAGGTTCAACTCCGATAGTTGAATGCACACATCACAAAGAAGTTTCTCAGAAAGCTTCTGTGTAGTTTTTGATGAAGATATCTTCTTCTCTAAAACAGAACTCCAAGCCCTCCAAATATTCACTTCAAGATTCTACGGAAAGATTGTCTCAAACTGCTAAATCAAAACAAAGGTTCAACTCTGTGTGATGAATGCATTCATCACAAAGAAGTTTCTCTGAGTGCTTCTGTGCAGTTTTTATTTGAAGATAATTGCTTTTCCAGTATAGGGCGAAATAGGGCTCCAAATATTCACTTGCAGATTCTACAGAAAGAGAGATTCCAAACTGCTCAATCAAAACATAGGTTCAACACTGTGAGTTGAATGCATACATCGCAAAGAAGTTTCACAGAGTACTTCTGGGTGGTTTTTATTTGAAGATATTTCCCTTTCCACAATAGGCCTCAAAGCTTTCCAAATGTCCACTTGCAGATTCCACCAAAAGAGGGTTTCGAAACTGCTCAATCAAAAGAAAGGTTCTACTCTGTGGGATGAATGCACACATCACAAAGTAGTTTCTCAGAATGCTTCTGTGTAGTTTTTATGTGAAGATATTTGTTTTTCCACAGTAGGCCCCAAAGAGCTCCAAATATTCACTTGCAGATTCTACAAAAAGAGTGTTCCAAAACTGCTCAATCATGAAATAGGATCAACCCTGTGAGATGAATGTACGTATGACAGAGAAGTTTCTCAGAATGCTTCTGTGTAGTTTTTATGCGAAGATATTCGACTTTCCACAGTACGCCTCAAAGTTCTCCAATTATCCACTCGTAGATCCTGCAAAAAGAGAGATTCAAAACTGCTCAATCAAAAGATAGTTTCTACTCCATTAGCTGAAAGACCACATCACAAAAAAAGTTTCTCAGGATGCTTCTGTGTAGTTTTTATGTGAAGATATTTGGTTTTCCACAGTAGGCCTCAAAGCGCTCCAAATATCCACTCACAGATTCTGCAAAAAGAGAGATTCAAAACTGCTGAATCAAAAGACAGTTTCAACTCTGTGACTTCAGTGCACACCTCACAAGGATGTTTCTCAGAATGCTTCTGTGTAGTTTTCATATAAAGATATCTCCTTCTCCAAAATGGATCTCAAAGTTCTCCAAATATTCACTTCCAGATTCTATGGAAAGATTGTCTCAAAACTGCTCAATCAAACCAAAGGTTCAACTCTGTGTGATGAATGCCCACATCACAAAGAAGTTTCTCAGAGTACTTCTGTGTAGTTTCTATTTGAGGATAGTTCCTTTTCCACCACAGACCAGAAAGGGCTCCAAATATCCATTGCAGATGGTACAAAAAGTGAGATTCAAAACTGCTCAATCCAAAGGTAGTTTCAACCATGTGATATGAATGCACACAGCACAGAGAATTTTCTCAAAATGCGTCTGTCTAGTTTTTATTTGAAGATATTTCCTTTTCTACCATAGGCCACAAACGTCTCCAAATATCCACATGCAGCTTCTACAAAAAGAGAGATTCAAAACTTCTCAATCAAAAGATAGGTTCAACTCTGTGAGTTGAAAGCACACCTCACAAAGAAGTTTCTCAGAGTGCTTCTGTGTGTTTTTATGTGAAGATATTTCCTTTTCCACAATAGGCCTCAAAGCTCTCCAAATATCTGCGAGCAGAGTCTACAAAATGAGAGATTCAAAACTGCTCAATGAAAAGATAGGTTCAACTCTGTGAGTTGAATGCACACCTCCAAAGAAGTTTCTCAGAATGCTTCCGTGCAGTTTTTATGTGAAGATATTTACTTTTCCACAGTTGTCCCAAAGCTCTAAAATGTCCACTTGCAGACCCTCCAAAAGAGTGTTTCAGAATTGCTCAATCAAAGGGAAGGTTCAATTCTGTGTGACCAATGCACTCATCACAAAGAAGTTTGTCTGAATGCTTCTGTGTAGAATTGATTTGAAGATAATTCCTTTTCCACCACAGTCCGCAAAGGGCTAAAAATATCCACTTGCCGATTCCACAAAAAGAGAGATTCAAAACTGCTCAATCACAAGATAGGTTCAACTTGGTAATTGGAAAGCACACATGACAAACAATTTCTGAGAATGTTTCTGTGTAGTTTTTAAGGGAAGATATTTGATTTTCAAATGTAGGCCTCAAATCGCTCCAAATATCCACTTGCATATTGTACAAAAAGAGAGATTCAAAACTGGTCACTCAAAAGTTAGGTCCAGCTCTGTGAGCTGAATGCACACATCACAAAGATGTTTCTCAGAAGGTTTCTGTATAGTTTCTATATGAAGATATTGGCTTTTCCACAATATGCCTCAAATCTCCCCAATTATCCACTTGCAGATTCTAGAAAAAGAGTGTTTCAAAACAGCTCAATCAAAATAAACTTTCAACTCTGTGAGATCAATGCACACATCACAAAGAAGTTTCTCAGAATGCTTCTGTGTAGTTTTTTTTGTGAAGATATTTGATTTTCCACAGCAGGCTTCCAAGCACTCCAAATATCCACTCGCAGATTCTGCAAAAAGAGAGATTCAAATCTGCTGAATCAAAAGATAGGTTTAACTCTGTGACTTCAATGCACACCTCACAAGGGTGTTTCTCAGAAAGCTTCTGTGTAGCTTTTATATGAAGATATCTCCTTCTCCAAAGCAGGTCTCAAAGCCCTCCAAATATTCACTTCAAGATTCTACGGAAAGATTGTCTCAACACTGCTAAATCTAAACAAATGTTCAACTCTGTGTGATGAATGCACTCATCACAGAGAAGTTTCTCTGAATGCCTCTGTGTAGTTTTTATTTGAAGATATTTGCTTTTCCAGTATAGGGCGAAATAGGGCTCCAAATATTCACTTGCAGATTCTACAAAAGGAGAGATTCCAAACTGCTCAATCAAAACATAGGTTCAACACTGTGAGTTGAATGCACACATCACAAAGAAGTTTCACAGAGTGCTTCTGGGTAGTTTTTATTTGAGGATATTTCCCTTTCCACAATAGGCCTCAAAGCTTTCCAAATATCCACTTGCAGATTCTGCAAAAAGAGAGATACAAAACTGCTCTATCAAAAGATAGATTCGACTCTGTGAGTTGAATGCCAACATCGCAAAGAAGTTTCTCAGAATGCTTCTCTGCAGCTTTTTTGTGAGTATGTTTCGTTTTCCACCATAGGGCGAAATGGGGCTCCAAATATCCACTTGCATTTCCTACAAAAAGAGAGATTCTAAGCTGCTCAATCAAAACATTGTTTCAACACGGTTAGTTGAATGCACACATCCCAAAGATGTTTTTCAGAGTGCTTCTGTGTGGTTTTTATGTGAAGATACTTCCTTTTCCACAATAGGCCTCAAATCTCTGTAAATATCCACTTGCAGACTCTACAAAGAGTGTTTCCAAACTGCTCAATCATAAGATAGGTTCAACTCCGATAGTTGAATGCACACATCACAAAGAAGTTTCTCAGAAAGCTTCTGTGTAGTTTTTGATGAAGATATCTCCTTCTCTAAAACAGAACTCCAAGCCCTCCAAATATTCACTTCAAGATTCTACGGAAAGATTGTCTCAAAACTCCTAAATCAAAACAAAGTTTCAACTCTGTGTCATGAATGCATTCATCTCAAAGAAGTTTCTCTGAATGCTTCTGTGCAGTTTTTATTTGAAGATAATTGCTTTTCCAGTATAGGGCGAAATAGGGCTCCAAATATTCACTTGCAGATTCTACAGAAAGAGAGATTCCAAACTGCTCAATCAAAACATAGTTTCAACACTGTGAGTTGAATGCATACATCGCAAAGAAGTTTCACAGAGTACTTCTGGGTGGTTTTTATTTGAAGATATTTCCCTTTCCACAATAGGCCTCAAAGCTTTCCAAATGTCCACTTGCAGATTCCACCAAAAGAGTGTTTCGAAACTGCTCAATCAAAAGAAAGGTTCTACTCTGTGGGATGAATGCACACATCACAAAGTAGTTTCTCAGAATGCTTCTGTGTAGTTTTTATGTGAAGATATTTGTTTTTCCACAGTAGGCCCCAAAGAGCTTCAAATATTCACTTGCAGATTCTACAAAAAGAGTGTTCCAGAACTGCTCAATCATGAAATAGGATCAACCCTGTGAGATGAATGTACGTATGACAGAGAAGTTTCTCAGAATGCTTCTGTGTAGTTTTTATGCGAAGATATTCGATTTTCCACAGTACGCCTCAAAGTTCTCCAATTATCCACTCGTAGATTCTGCAAAAAGAGAGATTCAAAACTGCTCAATCAAAAGATAGTTTCTACTCCATTAGCTGAAAGACCACATCACAAAAAAAGTTTCTCAGGATGCTTCTGTGTAGTTTTTATGTGAAGATATTTGGTTTTCCACAGTAGGCCTCAAAGCGCTCCAAATATCCACTCACAGATTCTGCAAAAAGAGAGATTCAAAACTGCTGAATCAAAAGACAGTTTCAACTCTGTGACTTCAGTGCACACCTCACAAGGATGTTTCTCAGAATGCTTCTGTGTAGTTTTTATATAAAGATATCTCCTTCTCCAAAATGGATCTCAAAGTTCTCCAAATATTCACTTCCAGATTCTATGGAAAGATTGTCTCAAAACTGCTCAATCAAACCAAAGGTTCAACTCTGTGAGATGAATGCCCACATCACAAAGAAGTTTCTCAGAGTACTTCTGTGTAGTTTCTATTTGAGGATAGTTCCTTTTCCACCACAGACCAGAAAGGGCTCCAAATATCCATTGCAGATGGTACAAAAAGTGAGATTCAAAACTGCTCAATCCAAAGGTAGTTTCAACCATGTGATATGAATGCACACAGCACAGAGAATTTTCTCAAAATGCGTCTGTCTAGTTTTTATTTGAAGATATTTCCTTTTCTACCATAGGCCACAAACGTCTCCAAATATCCACATGCAGCTTCTACAAAAAGAGAGATTCAAAACTTCTCAATCAAAAGATAGGTTCAACTCTGTGAGTTGAAAGCACACCTCACAGAGAAGTTTCTCAGAGTGCTTCTGTGTGTTTTTATGTGAAGATATTTCCTTTTCCACAATAGGCCTCAAAGCTCTCCAAATATCTGCGAGCAGAGTCTACAAAATGAGAGATTCAAAACTGCTCAATGAAAAGATAGGTTCAACTCTGTGAGTTGAATGCACACCTCCAAAGAAGTTTCTCAGAATGCTTCCGTGTAGTTTTTATGTGAAGATATTTACTTTTCCACAGTTGTCCCAAAGCTCTAAAATGTCCACTTGCAGACCCTCCAAAAGAGTGTTTCAGAATTGCTCAATCAAAGGGAAGGTTCAATTCTGTGTGACCAATGCACTCATCACAAAGAAGTTTGTCTGAATGCTTCTGTGTAGAATTGATTTGAAGATAATTCCTTTTCCACCACAGTCCGCAAAGGGCTAAAAATATCCACTTGCCGATTCCACAAAAAGAGAGATTCAAAACTGCTCAATCACAAGATAGGTTCAACTTGGTAATTGGAAAGCACACATGACAAACAATTTCTGAGAATGTTTCTGTGTAGTTTTTAAGGGAAGATATTTGATTTTCAAATGTAGGCCTCAAATCGCTCCAAATATCCACTTGCATATTGTACAAAAAGAGAGATTCAAAACTGGTCACTCAAAAGTTAGGTCCAGCTCTGTGAGCTGAATGCACACATCACAAAGATGTTTCTCAGAAGGTTTCTGTATAGTTTTTATATGAAGATATTTGCTTTTCCACAATATGCCTCAAATCTCCCCAATTATCCACTTGCAGATTCTAGAAAAAGAGTGTTTCAAAACAGCTCAATCAAAATAAACTTTCAACTCTGTGAGATCAATGCACACATCACAAAGAAGTTTCTCAGAATGCTTCTGTGTAGTTTTTTTTGTGAAGATATTTGATTTTCCACAGCAGGCTTCCAAGCACTCCAAATATCCACTCGCAGATTCTGCAAAAAGAGAGATTCAAATCTGCTGAATCAAAAGATAGGTTTAACTCTGTGACTTCAATGCACACCTCACAAGGGTGTTTCTCAGAAAGCTTCTGTGTAGTTTTTATATGAAGATATCTCCTTCTCCAAAGCAGGTCTCAAAGCCCTCCAAATATTCACTTCAAGATTCTACGGAAAGATTGTCTCAACACTGCTAAATCTAAACAAATGTTCAACTCTGTGTGATGAATGCACTCATCACAGAGAAGTTTCTCTGAATGCCTCTGTGTAGTTTTTATTTGAAGATATTTGCTTTTCCAGTATAGGGCGAAATAGGGCTCCAAATATTCACTTGCAGATTCTACAAAAGGAGAGATTCCAAACTGCTCAATCAAAACATAGGTTCAACACTGTGAGTTGAATGCACACATCACAAAGAAGTTTCACAGAGTGCTTCTGGGTAGTTTTTATTTGAGGATATTTCCCTTTCCACAATAGGCCTCAAAGCTTTCCAAATATCCACTTGCAGATTCTGCAAAAAGAGAGATACAAAACTGCTCTATCAAAAGATAGATTCGACTCTGTGAGTTGAATGCCAACATCGCAAAGAAGTTTCTCAGAATGCTTCTCTGCAGCTTTTTTGTGAGTATGTTTCGTTTTCCACCATAGGGCGAAATGGGGCTCCAAATATCCACTTGCATTTCCTACAAAAAGAGAGATTCTAAGCTGCTCAATCAAAACATTGTTTCAACACGGTTAGTTGAATGCACACATCCCAAAGATGTTTTTCAGAGTGCTTCTGTGTGGTTTTTATGTGAAGATACTTCCTTTTCCACAATAGGCCTCAAATCTCTGTAAATATCCACTTGCAGACTCTACAAAGAGTGTTTCCAAACTGCTCAATCATAAGATAGGTTCAACTCCGATAGTTGAATGCACACATCACAAAGAAGTTTCTCAGAAAGCTTCTGTGTAGTTTTTGATGAAGATATCTCCTTCTCTAAAACAGAACTCCAAGCCCTCCAAATATTCACTTCAAGATTCTACGGAAAGATTGTCTCAAAACTCCTAAATCAAAACAAAGTTTCAACTCTGTGTCATGAATGCATTCATCTCAAAGAACTTTCTCTGAATGCTTCTGTGCAGTTTTTATTTGAAGATAATTGCTTTTCCAGTATAGGGCGAAATAGGGCTCCAAATATTCACTTGCAGATTCTACAGAAAGAGAGATTCCAAACTGCTCAATCAAAACATAGGTTCAACACTGTGAGTTGAATGCATACATCGCAAAGAAGTTTCACAGAGTACTTCTGGGTGGTTTTTATTTGAAGATATTTCCCTTTCCACAATAGGCTTCAAAGCTTTCCAAATGTCCACTTGCAGATTCCACCAAAAGAGTGTTTCGAAACTGCTCAATCAAAAGAAAGGTTCTACTCTGTGGGATGAATGCACACATCACAAAGTAGTTTCTCAGAATGCTTCTGTGTAGTTTTTATGTGAAGATATTTGTTTTTCCACAGTAGGCCCCAAAGAGCTCCAAATATTCACTTGCAGATTCTACAAAAAGAGTGTTCCAAAACTGCTCAATCATGAAATAGGATCAACCCTGTGAGATGAATGTACGTATGACAGAGAAGTTTCTCAGAATGCTTCTGTGTAGTTTTTATGCGAAGATATTCGATTTTCCACAGTACGCCTCAAAGTTCTCCAATTATCCACTCGTAGATTCTGCAAAAAGAGAGATTCAAAACTGCTCAATCAAAAGATAGTTTCTACTCCATTAGCTGAAAGACCACATCACAAAAAAAGTTTCTCAGGATGCTTCTGTGTAGTTTTTATGTGAAGATATTTGGTTTTCCACAGTAGGCCTCAAAGCGCTCCAAATATCCACTCACAGATTCTGCAAAAAGAGAGATTCAAAACTGCTGAATCAAAAGACAGTTTCAACTCTGTGACTTCAGTGCACACCTCACAAGGATGTTTCTCAGAATGCTTCTGTGTAGTTTTCATATAAAGATATCTCCTTCTCCAAAATGGATCTCAAAGTTCTCCAAATATTCACTTCCAGATTCTATGGAAAGATTGTCTCAAAACTGCTCAATCAAACCAAAGGTTCAACTCTGTGAGATGAATGCCCACATCACAAAGAAGTTTCTCAGAGTACTTCTGTGTAGTTTCTATTTGAGGATAGTTCCTTTTCCACCACAGACCAGAAAGGGCTCCAAATATCCATTGCAGATGGTACAAAAAGTGAGATTCAAAACTGCTCAATCCAAAGGTAGTTTCAACCATGTGATATGAATGCACACAGCACAGAGAATTTTCTCAAAATGCGTCTGTCTAGTTTTTATTTGAAGATATTTCCTTTTCTACCATAGGCCACAAACGTCTCCAAATATCCACATGCAGCTTCTACAAAAAGAGAGATTCAAAACTTCTCAATCAAAAGATAGGTTCAACTCTGTGAGTTGAAAGCACACCTCACAAAGAAGTTTCTCAGAGTGCTTCTGTGTGTTTTTATGTGAAGATATTTCCTTTTCCACAATAGGCCTCAAAGCTCTCCAAATATCTGCGAGCAGAGTCTACAAAATGAGAGATTCAAAACTGCTCAATGAAAAGATAGGTTCAACTCTGTGAGTTGAATGCACACCTCCAAAGAAGTTTCTCAGAATGCTTCCGTGTAGTTTTTATGTGAAGATATTTACTTTTCCACAGTTGTCCCAAAGCTCTAAAATGTCCACTTGCAGACCCTCCAAAAGAGTGTTTCAGAATTGCTCAATCAAAGGGAAGGTTCAATTCTGTGTGACCAATGCACTCATCACAAAGAAGTTTGTCTGAATGCTTCTGTGTAGAATTGATTTGAAGATAATTCCTTTTCCACCACAGTCCGCAAAGGGCTAAAAATATCCACTTGCCGATTCCACAAAAAGAGAGATTCAAAACTGCTCAATCACAAGATAGGTTCAACTTGGTAATTGGAAAGCACACATGACAAACAATTTCTGAGAATGTTTCTGTGTAGTTTTTAAGGGAAGATATTTGATTTTCAAATGTAGGCCTCAAATCGCTCCAAATATCCACTTGCATATTGTACAAAAAGAGAGATTCAAAACTGGTCACTCGAAAGTTAGGTCCAGCTCTGTGAGCTGAATGCACACATCACAAAGATGTTTCTCAGAAGGTTTCTGTATAGTTTTTATATGAAGATATTTGCTTTTCCACAATATGCCTCAAATCTCCCCAATTATCCACTTGCAGATTCTAGAAAAAGAGTGTTTCAAAACAGCTCAATCAAAATAAACTTTCAACTCTGTGAGATCAATGCACACATCACAAAGAAGTTTCTCAGAATGCTTCTGTGTAGTTTTTTTTGTGAAGATATTTGATTTTCCACAGCAGGCTTCCAAGCACTCCAAATATCCACTCGCAGATTCTGCAAAAAGAGAGATTCAAATCTGCTGAATCAAAAGATAGGTTTAACTCTGTGACTTCAATGCACACCTCACAAGGGTGTTTCTCAGAAAGCTTCTGTGTAGTTTTTATATGAAGATATCTCCTTCTCCAAAGCAGGTCTCAAAGCCCTCCAAATATTCACTTCAAGATTCTACGGAAAGATTGTCTCAACACTGCTAAATCTAAACAAATGTTCAACTCTGTGTGATGAATGCACTCATCACAGAGAAGTTTCTCTGAATGCCTCTGTGTAGTTTTTATTTGAAGATATTTGCTTTTCCAGTATAGGGCGAAATAGGGCTCCAAATATTCACTTGCAGATTCTACAAAAGGAGAGATTCCAAACTGCTCAATCAAAACATAGGTTCAACACTGTGAGTTGAATGCACACATCACAAAGAAGTTTCACAGAGTGCTTCTGGGTAGTTTTTATTTGAGGATATTTCCCTTTCCACAATAGGCCTCAAAGCTTTCCAAATATCCACTTGCAGATTCTGCAAAAAGAGAGATACAAAACTGCTCTATCAAAAGATAGATTCGACTCTGTGAGTTGAATGCCAACATCGCAAAGAAGTTTCTCAGAATGCTTCTCTGCAGCTTTTTTGTGAGTATGTTTCGTTTTCCACCATAGGGCGAAATGGGGCTCCAAATATCCACTTGCATTTCCTACAAAAAGAGAGATTCTAAGCTGCTCAATCAAAACATTGTTTCAACACGGTTAGTTGAATGCAGACATCCCAAAGATGTTTTTCAGAGTGCTTCTGTGTGGTTTTTATGTGAAGATACTTCCTTTTCCACAATAGGCCTCAAATCTCTGTAAATATCCACTTGCAGACTCTACAAAGAGTGTTTCCAAACTGCTCAATCATAAGATAGGTTCAACTCCGATAGTTGAATGCACACATCACAAAGAAGTTTCTCAGAAAGCTTCTGTGTAGTTTTTGATGAAGATATCTCCTTCTCTAAAACAGAACTCCAAGCCCTCCAAATATTCACTTCAAGATTCTACGGAAAGATTGTCTCAAAACTCCTAAATCAAAACAAAGTTTCAACTCTGTGTCATGAATGCATTCATCTCAAAGAACTTTCTCTGAATGCTTCTGTGCAGTTTTTATTTGAAGATAATTGCTTTTCCAGTATAGGGCGAAATAGGGCTCCAAATATTCACTTGCAGATTCTACAGAAAGAGAGATTCCAAACTGCTCAATCAAAACATAGGTTCAACACTGTGAGTTGAATGCATACATCGCAAAGAAGTTTCACAGAGTACTTCTGGGTGGTTTTTATTTGAAGATATTTCCCTTTCCACAATAGGCCTCAAAGCTTTCCAAATGTCCACTTGCAGATTCCACCAAAAGAGTGTTTCGAAACTGCTCAATCAAAAGAAAGGTTCTACTCTGTGGGATGAATGCACACATCACAAAGTAGTTTCTCAGAATGCTTCTGTGTAGTTTTTATGTGAAGATATTTGTTTTTCCACAGTAGGCCCCAAGGAGCTCCAAATATTCACTTGCAGATTCTACAAAAAGAGTGTTCCAAAACTGCTCAATCATGAAATAGGATCAACCCTGTGAGATGAATGTACGTATGACAGAGAAGTTTCTCAGAATGCTTCTGTGTAGTTTTTATGCGAAGATATTCGATTTTCCACAGTACGCCTCAAAGTTCTCCAATTATCCACTCGTAGATTCTGCAAAAAGAGAGATTCAAAACTGCTCAATCAAAAGATAGTTTCTACTCCATTAGCTGAAAGACCACATCACAAAAAAAGTTTCTCAGGATGCTTCTGTGTAGTTTTTATGTGAAGATATTTGGTTTTCCACAGTAGGCCTCAAAGCGCTCCAAATATCCACTCACAGATTCTGCAAAAAGAGAGATTCAAAACTGCTGAATCAAAAGACAGTTTCAACTCTGTGACTTCAGTGCACACCTCACAAGGATGTTTCTCAGAATGCTTCTGTGTAGTTTTCATATAAAGATATCTCCTTCTCCAAAATGGATCTCAAAGTTCTCCAAATATTCACTTCCAGATTCTATGGAAAGATTGTCTCAAAACTGCTCAATCAAACCAAAGGTTCAACTCTGTGAGATGAATGCCCACATCACAAAGAAGTTTCTCAGAGTGCTTCTGTGTAGTTTCTATTTGAGGATAGTTCCTTTTCCACCACAGACCAGAAAGGGCTCCAAATATCCATTGCAGATGGTACAAAAAGTGAGATTCAAAACTGCTCAATCCAAAGGTAGTTTCAACCATGTGATATGAATGCACACAGCACAGAGAATTTTCTCAAAATGCGTCTGCCTAGTTTTTATTTGAAGATATTTCCTTTTCTACCATAGGCCACAAACGTCTCCAAATATCCACATGCAGCTTCTACAAAAAGAGAGATTCAAAACTTCTCAATCAAAAGATAGGTTCAACTCTGTGAGTTGAAAGCACACCTCACAGAGAAGTTTCTCAGAGTGCTTCTGTGTGTTTTTATGTGAAGATATTTCCTTTTCCACAATAGGCCTCAAAGCTCTCCAAATATCTGCGAGCAGAGTCTACAAAATGAGAGATTCAAAACTGCTCAATGAAAAGATAGGTTCAACTCTGTGAGTTGAATGCACACCTCCAAAGAAGTTTCTCAGAATGCTTCCGTGTAGTTTTTATGTGAAGATATTTACTTTTCCACAGTTGTCCCAAAGCTCTAAAATGTCCACTTGCAGACCCTCCAAAAGAGTGTTTCAGAATTGCTCAATCAAAGGGAAGGTTCAATTCTGTGTGACCAATGCACTCATCACAAAGAAGTTTGTCTGAATGCTTCTGTGTAGAATTGATTTGAAGATAATTCCTTTTCCACCACAGTCCGCAAAGGGCTAAAAATATCCACTTGCCGATTCCACAAAAAGAGAGATTCAAAACTGCTCAATCACAAGATAGGTTCAACTTGGTAATTGGAAAGCACACATGACAAACAATTTCTGAGAATGTTTCTGTGTAGTTTTTAAGGGAAGATATTTGATTTTCAAATGTAGGCCTCAAATCGCTCCAAATATCCACTTGCATATTGTACAAAAAGAGAGATTCAAAACTGGTCACTCAAAAGTTAGGTCCAGCTCTGTGAGCTGAATGCACACATCACAAAGATGTTTCTCAGAAGGTTTCTGTATAGTTTCTATATGAAGATATTTGCTTTTCCACAATATGCCTCAAATCTCCCCAATTATCCACTTGCAGATTCTAGAAAAAGAGTGTTTCAAAACAGCTCAATCAAAATAAACTTTCAACTCTGTGAGATCAATGCACACATCACAAAGAAGTTTCTCAGAATGCTTCTGTGTAGTTTTTTTTGTGAAGATATTTGATTTTCCACAGCAGGCTTCCAAGCACTCCAAATATCCA
This sequence comes from Homo sapiens, assembly GCF_000001405.40. Classification (NCBI taxonomy): domain Eukaryota; kingdom Metazoa; phylum Chordata; class Mammalia; order Primates; family Hominidae; genus Homo; species Homo sapiens. The sequence goes on along the minus strand of NC_000015.10, from coordinate 17,621,584 downwards.
CTCGCAGATTCTGCAAAAAGAGAGATTCAAATCTGCTGAATCAAAAGATAGGTTTAACTCTGTGACTTCAATGCACACCTCACAAGGGTGTTTCTCAGAAAGCTTCTGTGTAGTTTTTATATGAAGATATCTCCTTCTCCAAAGCAGGTCTCAAAGCCCTCCAAATATTCACTTCAAGATTCTACGGAAAGATTGTCTCAACACTGCTAAATCTAAACAAATGTTCAACTCTGTGTGATGAATGCACTCATCACAGAGAAGTTTCTCTGAATGCCTCTGTGTAGTTTTTATTTGAAGATATTTGCTTTTCCAGTATAGGGCGAAATAGGGCTCCAAATATTCACTTGCAGATTCTACAAAAGGAGAGATTCCAAACTGCTCAATCAAAACATAGGTTCAACACTGTGAGTTGAATGCACACATCACAAAGAAGTTTCACAGAGTGCTTCTGGGTAGTTTTTATTTGAGGATATTTCCCTTTCCACAATAGGCCTCAAAGCTTTCCAAATATCCACTTGCAGATTCTGCAAAAAGAGAGATACAAAACTGCTCTATCAAAAGATAGATTCGACTCTGTGAGTTGAATGCCAACATCGCAAAGAAGTTTCTCAGAATGCTTCTCTGCAGCTTTTTTGTGAGTATGTTTCGTTTTCCACCATAGGGCGAAATGGGGCTCCAAATATCCACTTGCATTTCCTACAAAAAGAGAGATTCTAAGCTGCTCAATCAAAACATTGTTTCAACACGGTTACTTGAATGCACACATCCCAAAGATGTTTTTCAGAGTGCTTCTGTGTGGTTTTTATGTGAAGATACTTCCTTTTCCACAATAGGCCTCAAATCTCTGTAAATATCCACTTGCAGACTCTACAAAGAGTGTTTCCAAACTGCTCAATCATAAGATAGGTTCAACTCCGATAGTTGAATGCACACATCACAAAGAAGTTTCTCAGAAAGCTTCTGTGTAGTTTTTGATGAAGATATCTCCTTCTCTAAAACAGAACTCCAAGCCCTCCAAATATTCACTTCAAGATTCTACGGAAAGATTGTCTCAAAACTCCTAAATCAAAACAAAGTTTCAACTCTGTGTCATGAATGCATTCATCTCAAAGAACTTTCTCTGAATGCTTCCTGTGCAGTTTTTATTTGAAGATAATTGCTTTTCCAGTATAGGGCGAAATAGGGCTCCAAATATTCACTTGCAGATTCTACAGAAAGAGAGATTCCAAACTGCTCAATCAAAACATAGGTTCAACACTGTGAGTTGAATGCATACATCGCAAAGAAGTTTCACAGAGTACTTCTGGGTGGTTTTTATTTGAAGATATTTCCCTTTCCACAATAGACCTCAAAGCTTTCCAAATGTCCACTTGCAGATTCCACCAAAAGAGTGTTTCGAAACTGCTCAATCAAAAGAAAGGTTCTACTCTGTGGGATGAATGCACACATCACAAAGTAGTTTCTCAGAATGCTTCTGTGTAGTTTTTATGTGAAGATATTTGTTTTTCCACAGTAGGCCCCAAGGAGCTCCAAATATTCACTTGCAGATTCTACAAAAAGAGTGTTCCAAAACTGCTCAATCATGAAATAGGATCAACCCTGTGAGATGAATGTACGTATGACAGAGAAGTTTCTCAGAATGCTTCTGTGTAGTTTTTATGCGAAGATATTCGATTTTCCACAGTACGCCTCAAAGTTCTCCAATTATCCACTCGTAGATTCTGCAAAAAGAGAGATTCAAACCTGCTCAATCAAAAGATAGTTTCTACTCCATTAGCTGAAAGACCACATCACAAAAAAAGTTTCTCAGGATGCTTCTGTGTAGTTTTTATGTGAAGATATTTGGTTTTCCACAGTAGGCCTCAAAGCGCTCCAAATATCCACTCACAGATTCTGCAAAAAGAGAGATTCAAAACTGCTGAATCAAAAGACAGTTTCAACTCTGTGACTTCAGTGCACACCTCACAAGGATGTTTCTCAGAATGCTTCTGTGTAGTTTTTATATAAAGATATCTCCTTCTCCAAAATGGATCTCAAAGTTCTCCAAATATTCACTTCCAGATTCTATGGAAAGATTGTCTCAAAACTGCTCAATCAAACCAAAGGTTCAACTCTGTGAGATGAATGCCCACATCACAAAGAAGTTTCTCAGAGTACTTCTGTGTAGTTTCTATTTGAGGATAGTTCCTTTTCCACCACAGACCAGAAAGGGCTCCAAATATCCATTGCAGATGGTACAAAAAGTGAGATTCAAAACTGCTCAATCCAAAGGTAGTTTCAACCATGTGATATGAATGCACACAGCACAGAGAATTTTCTCAAAATGCGTCTGTCTAGTTTTTATTTGAAGATATTTCCTTTTCTACCACAGGCCACAAACGTCTCCAAATATCCACATGCAGCTTCTACAAAAAGAGAGATTCAAAACTTCTCAATCAAAAGATAGGTTCAACTCTGTGAGTTGAAAGCACACCTCACAAAGAAGTTTCTCAGAGTGCTTCTGTGTGTTTTTATGTGAAGATATTTCCTTTTCCACAACAGGCCTCAAAGCTCTCCAAATATCTGCGAGCAGAGTCTACAAAATGAGAGATTCAAAACTGCTCAATGAAAAGATAGGTTCAACTCTGTGAGTTGAATGCACACCTCCAAAGAAGTTTCTCAGAATGCTTCCGTGTAGTTTTTATGTGAAGATATTTACTTTTCCACAGTTGTCCCAAAGCTCTAAAATGTCCACTTGCAGACCCTCCAAAAGAGTGTTTCAGAATTGCTCAATCAAAGGGAAGGTTCAATTCTGTGTGACCAATGCACTCATCACAAAGAAGTTTGTCTGAATGCTTCTGTGTAGAATTGATTTGAAGATAATTCCTTTTCCACCACAGTCCGCAAAGGGCTAAAAATATCCACTTGCCGATTCCACAAAAAGAGAGATTCCAAACTGCTCAATCACAAGATAGGTTCAACTTGGTAATTGGAAAGCACACATGACAAACAATTTCTGAGAATGTTTCTGTGTAGTTTTTAAGGGAAGATATTTGATTTTCAAATGTAGGCCTCAAATCGCTCCAAATATCCACTTGCATATTGTACAAAAAGAGAGATTCAAAACTGGTCACTCAAAAGTTAGGTCCAGCTCTGTGAGCTGAATGCACACATCACAAAGATGTTTCTCAGAAGGTTTCTGTATAGTTTTTATATGAAGATATTTGCTTTTCCACAATATGCCTCAAATCTCCCCAATTATCCACTTGCAGATTCTAGAAAAAGAGTGTTTCAAAACAGCTCAATCAAAATAAACTTTCAACTCTGTGAGATCAATGCACACATCACAAAGAAGTTTCTCAGAATGCTTCTGTGTAGTTTTTTTTGTGAAGATATTTGATTTTCCACAGCAGGCTTCCAAGCACTCCAAATATCCACTCGCAGATTCTGCAAAAAGAGAGATTCAAATCTGCTGAATCAAAAGATAGGTTTAACTCTGTGACTTCAATGCACACCTCACAAGGGTGTTTCTCAGAAAGCTTCTGTGTAGTTTTTATATGAAGATATCTCCTTCTCCAAAGCAGGTCTCAAAGCCCTCCAAATATTCACTTCAAGATTCTACGGAAAGATTGTCTCAACACTGCTAAATCTAAACAAATGTTCAACTCTGTGTGATGAATGCACTCATCACAGAGAAGTTTCTCTGAATGCCTCTGTGTAGTTTTTATTTGAAGATATTTGCTTTTCCAGTATAGGGCGAAATAGGGCTCCAAATATTCACTTGCTGATTCTACAAAAGGAGAGATTCCAAACTGCTCAATCAAAACATAGGTTCAACACTGTGAGTTGAATGCACACATCACAAAGAAGTTTCACAGAGTGCTTCTGGGTAGTTTTTATTTGAGGATATTTCCCTTTCCACAATAGGCCTCAAAGCTTTCCAAATATCCACTTGCAGATTCTGCAAAAAGAGAGATACAAAACTGCTCTATCAAAAGATAGATTCGACTCTGTGAGTTGAATGCCAACATCGCAAAGAAGTTTCTCAGAATGCTTCTCTGCAGCTTTTTTGTGAGTATGTTTCGTTTTCCACCATAGGGCGAAATGGGGCTCCAAATATCCACTTGCATTTCCTACAAAAAGAGAGATTCTAAGCTGCTCAATCAAAACATTGTTTCAACACGGTTAGTTGAATGCACACATCCCAAAGATGTTTTTCAGAGTGCTTCTGTGTGGTTTTTATGTGAAGATACTTCCTTTTCCACAATAGGCCTCAAATCTCTGTAAATATCCACTTGCAGACTCTACAAAGAGTGTTTCCAAACTGCTCAATCATAAGATAGGTTCAACTCCGATAGTTGAATGCACACATCACAAAGAAGTTTCTCAGAAAGCTTCTGTGTAGTTTTTGATGAAGATATCTCCTTCTCTAAAACAGAACTCCAAGCCCTCCAAATATTCACTTCAAGATTCTACGGAAAGATTGTCTCAAAACTCCTAAATCAAAACAAAGTTTCAACTCTGTGTCATGAATGCATTCATCTCAAAGAACTTTCTCTGAATGCTTCTGTGCAGTTTTTATTTGAAGATAATTGCTTTTCCAGTATAGGGCGAAATAGGGCTCCAAATATTCACTTGCAGATTCTACAGAAAGAGAGATTCCAAACTGCTCAATCAAAACATAGGTTCAACACTGTGAGTTGAATGCATACATCGCAAAGAAGTTTCACAGAGTACTTCTGGGTGGTTTTTATTTGAAGATATTTCCCTTTCCACAATAGGCCTCAAAGCTTTCCAAATGTCCACTTGCAGATTCCACCAAAAGCGTGTTTCGAAACTGCTCAATCAAAAGAAAGGTTCTACTCTGTGGGATGAATGCACACATCACAAAGTAGTTTCTCAGAATGCTTCTGTGTAGTTTTTATGTGAAGATATTTGTTTTTCCACAGTAGGCCCCAAAGAGCTCCAAATATTCACTTGCAGATTCTACAAAAAGAGTGTTCCAAAACTGCTCAATCATGAAATAGGATCAACCCTGTGAGATGAATGTACGTATGACAGAGAAGTTTCTCAGAATGCTTCTGTGTAGTTTTTATGCGAAGATATTCGATTTTCCACAGTACGCCTCAAAGTTCTCCAATTATCCACTCGTAGATTCTGCAAAAAGAGAGATTCAAAACTGCTCAATCAAAAGATAGTTTCTACTCCATTAGCTGAAAGACCACATCACAAAAAAAGTTTCTCAGGATGCTTCTGTGTAGTTTTTATGTGAAGATATTTGGTTTTCCACAGTAGGCCTCAAAGCGCTCCAAATATCCACTCACAGATTCTGCAAAAAGAGAGATTCAAAACTGCTGAATCAAAAGACAGTTTCAACTCTGTGACTTCAGTGCACACCTCACAAGGATGTTTCTCAGAATGCTTCTGTGTAGTTTTCATATAAAGATATCTCCTTCTCCAAAATGGATCTCAAAGTTCTCCAAATATTCACTTCCAGATTCTATGGAAAGATTGTCTCAAAACTGCTCAATCAAACCAAAGGTTCAACTCTGTGAGATGAATGCCCACATCACAAAGAAGTTTCTCAGAGTACTTCTGTGTAGTTTCTATTTGAGGATAGTTCCTTTTCCACCACAGACCAGAAAGGGCTCCAAATATCCATTGCAGATGGTACAAAAAGTGAGATTCAAAACTGCTCAATCCAAAGGTAGTTTCAACCATGTGATATGAATGCACACAGCACAGAGAATTTTCTCAAAATGCGTCTGTCTAGTTTTTATTTGAAGATATTTCCTTTTCTACCATAGGCCACAAACGTCTCCAAATATCCACATGCAGCTTCTACAAAAAGAGAGATTCAAAACTTCTCAATCAAAAGATAGGTTCAACTCTGTGAGTTGAAAGCACACCTCACAAAGAAGTTTCTCAGAGTGCTTCTGTGTGTTTTTATGTGAAGATATTTCCTTTTCCACAATAGGCCTCAAAGCTCTCCAAATATCTGCGAGCAGAGTCTACAAAATGAGAGATTCAAAACTGCTCAATGAAAAGATAGGTTCAACTCTGTGAGTTGAATGCACACCTCCAAAGAAGTTTCTCAGAATGCTTCCGTGTAGTTTTTATGTGAAGATATTTACTTTTCCACAGTTGTCCCAAAGCTCTAAAATATCCACTTGCAGACCCTCCAAAAGAGTGTTTCAGAATTGCTCAATCAAAGGGAAGGTTCAATTCTGTGTGACCAATGCACTCATCACAAAGAAGTTTGTCTGAATGCTTCTGTGTAGAATTGATTTGAAGATAATTCCTTTTCCACCACAGTCCGCAAAGGGCTAAAAATATCCACTTGCCGATTCCACAAAAAGAGAGATTCAAAACTGCTCAATCACAAGATAGGTTCAACTTGGTAATTGGAAAGCACACATGACAAACAATTTCTGAGAATGTTTCTGTGTAGTTTTTAAGGGAAGATATTTGATTTTCAAATGTAGGCCTCAAATCGCTCCAAATATCCACTTGCATATTGTACAAAAAGAGAGATTCAAAACTGGTCACTCAAAAGTTAGGTCCAGCTCTGTGAGCTGAATGCACACATCACAAAGATGTTTCTCAGAAGGTTTCTGTATAGTTTCTATATGAAGATATTTGCTTTTCCACAATATGCCTCAAATCTCCCCAATTATCCACTTGCAGATTCTAGAAAAAGAGTGTTTCAGAACAGCTCAATCAAAATAAACTTTCAACTCTGTGAGATCAATGCACACATCACAAAGAAGTTTCTCAGAATGCTTCTGTGTAGTTTTTTTTGTGAAGATATTTGATTTTCCACAGCAGGCTTCCAAGCACTCCAAATATCCACTCGCAGATTCTGCAAAAAGAGAGACTCAAATCTGCTGAATCAAAAGATAGGTTTAACTCTGTGACTTCAATGCACACCTCACAATGGTGTTTCTCAGAAAGCTTCTGTGTAGTTTTTATATGAAGATATCTCCTTCTCCAAAGCAGGTCTCAAAGCCCTCCAAATATTCACTTCAAGATTCTACGGAAAGATTGTCTCAACACTGCTAAATCTAAACAAATGTTCAACTCTGTGTGATGAATGCACTCATCACAGAGAAGTTTCTCTGAATGCCTCTGTGTAGTTTTTATTTGAAGATATTTGCTTTTCCAGTATAGGGCGAAATAGGGCTCCAAATATTCACTTGCAGATTCTACAAAAGGAGAGATTCCAAACTGCTCAATCAAAACATAGGTTCAACACTGTGAGTTGAATGCACACATCACAAAGAAGTTTCACAGAGTGCTTCTGGGTAGTTTTTATTTGAGGATATTTCCCTTTCCACAATAGGCCTCAAAGCTTTCCAAATATCCACTTGCAGATTCTGCAAAAAGAGAGATACAAAACTGCTCTATCAAAAGATAGATTCGACTCTGTGAGTTGAATGCCAACATCGCAAAGAAGTTTCTCAGAATGCTTCTCTGCAGCTTTTTTGTGAGTATGTTTCGTTTTCCACCATAGGGCGAAATGGGGCTCCAAATATCCACTTGCATTTCCTACAAAAAGAGAGATTCTAAGCTGCTCAATCAAAACATTGTTTCAACACGGTTAGTTGAATGCACACATCCCAAAGATGTTTTTCAGAGTGCTTCTGTGTGGTTTTTATGTGAAGATACTTCCTTTTCCACAATAGGCCTCAAATCTCTGTAAATATCCACTTGCAGACTCTACAAAGAGTGTTTCCAAACTGCTCAATCATAAGATAGGTTCAACTCCGATAGTTGAATGCACACATCACAAAGAAGTTTCTCAGAAAGCTTCTGTGTAGTTTTTGATGAAGATATCTTCTTCTCTAAAACAGAACTCCAAGCCCTCCAAATATTCACTTCAAGATTCTACGGAAAGATTGTCTCAAAACTCCTAAATCAAAACAAAGTTTCAACTCTGTGTCATGAATGCATTCATCTCAAAGAAGTTTCTCTGAATGCTTCTGTGCAGTTTTTATTTGAAGATAATTGCTTTTCCAGTATAGGGCGAAATAGGGCTCCAAATATTCACTTGCAGATTCTACAGAAAGAGAGATTCCAAACTGCTCAATCAAAACATAGGTTCAACACTGTGAGTTGAATGCATACATCGCAAAGAAGTTTCACAGAGTACTTCTGGGTGGTTTTTATTTGAAGATATTTCCCTTTCCACAATAGGCCTCAAAGCTTTCCAAATGTCCACTTGCAGATTCCACCAAAAGAGTGTTTCGAAACTGCTCAATCAAAAGAAAGGTTCTACTCTGTGGGATGAATGCACACATCACAAAGTAGTTTCTCAGAATGCTTCTGTGTAGTTTTTATGTGAAGATATTTGTTTTTCCACAGTAGGCCCCAAAGAGCTCCAAATATTCACTTGCAGATTCTACAAAAAGAGTGTTCCAAAACTGCTCAATCATGAAATAGGATCAACCCTGTGAGATGAATGTACGTATGACAGAGAAGTTTCTCAGAATGCTTCTGTGTAGTTTTTATGCGAAGATATTCGATTTTCCACAGTACGCCTCAAAGTTCTCCAATTATCCACTCGTAGATTCTGCAAAAAGAGAGATTCAAAACTGCTCAATCAAAAGATAGTTTCTACTCCATTAGCTGAAAGACCACATCACAAAAAAAGTTTCTCAGGATGCTTCTGTGTAGTTTTTATGTGAAGATATTTGGTTTTCCACAGTAGGCCTCAAAGCGCTCCAAATATCCACTCACAGATTCTGCAAAAAGAGAGATTCAAAACTGCTGAATCAAAAGACAGTTTCAACTCTGTGACTTCAGTGCACACCTCACAAGGATGTTTCTCAGAATGCTTCTGTGTAGTTTTTATATAAAGATATCTCCTTCTCCAAAATGGATCTCAAAGTTCTCCAAATATTCACTTCCAGATTCTATGGAAAGATTGTCTCAAAACTGCTCAATCAAACCAAAGGTTCAACTCTGTGAGATGAATGCCCACATCACAAAGAAGTTTCTCAGAGTACTTCTGTGTAGTTTCTATTTGAGGATAGTTCCTTTTCCACCACAGGACCAGAAAGGGCTCCAAATATCCATTGCAGATGGTACAAAAAGTGAGATTCAAAACTGCTCAATCCAAAGGTAGTTTCAACCATGTGATATGAATGCACACAGCACAGAGAATTTTCTCAAAATGCGTCTGTCTAGTTTTTATTTGAAGATATTTCCTTTTCTACCATAGGCCACAAACGTCTCCAAATATCCACATGCAGCTTCTACAAAAAGAGAGATTCAAAACTTCTCAATCAAAAGATAGGTTCAACTCTGTGAGTTGAAAGCACACCTCACAGAGAAGTTTCTCAGAGTGCTTCTGTGTGTTTTTATGTGAAGATATTTCCTTTTCCACAATAGGCCTCAAAGCTCTCCAAATATCTGCGAGCAGAGTCTACAAAATGAGAGATTCAAAACTGCTCAATGAAAAGATAGGTTCAACTCTGTGAGTTGAATGCACACCTCCAAAGAAGTTTCTCAGAATGCTTCCGTGTAGTTTTTATGTGAAGATATTTACTTTTCCACAGTTGTCCCAAAGCTCTAAAATGTCCACTTGCAGACCCTCCAAAAGAGTGTTTCAGAATTGCTCAATCAAAGGGAAGGTTCAATTCTGTGTGACCAATGCACTCATCACAAAGAAGTTTGTCTGAATGCTTCTGTGTAGAATTGATTTGAAGATAATTCCTTTTCCACCACAGTCCGCAAAGGGCTAAAAATATCCACTTGCCGATTCCACAAAAAGAGAGATTCAAAACTGCTCAATCACAAGATAGGTTCAACTTGGTAATTGGAAAGCACACATGACAAACAATTTCTGAGAATGTTTCTGTGTAGTTTTTAAGGGAAGATATTTGATTTTCAAATGTAGGCCTCAAATCGCTCCAAATATCCACTTGCATATTGTACAAAAAGAGAGATTCAAAACTGGTCACTCAAAAGTTAGGTCCAGCTCTGTGAGCTGAATGCACACATCACAAAGATGTTTCTCAGAAGGTTTCTGTATAGTTTTTATATGAAGATATTTGCTTTTCCACAATATGCCTCAAATCTCCCCAATTATCCACTTGCAGATTCTAGAAAAAGAGTGTTTCAAAACAGCTCAATCAAAATAAACTTTCAACTCTGTGAGATCAATGCACACATCACAAAGAAGTTTCTCAGAATGCTTCTGTGTAGTTTTTTTGTGAAGATATTTGATTTTCCACAGCAGGCTTCCAAGCACTCCAAATATCCACTCGCAGATTCTGCAAAAAGAGAGATTCAAATCTGCTGAATCAAAAGATAGGTTTAACTCTGTGACTTCAATGCACACCTCACAAGGGTGTTTCTCAGAAAGCTTCTGTGTAGTTTTTATATGAAGATATCTCCTTCTCCAAAGCAGGTCTCAAAGCCCTCCAAATATTCACTTCAAGATTCTACGGAAAGATTGTCTCAACACTGCTAAATCTAAACAAATGTTCAACTCTGTGTGATGAATGCACTCATCACAGAGAAGTTTCTCTGAATGCCTCTGTGTAGTTTTTATTTGAAGATATTTGCTTTTCCAGTATAGGGCGAAATAGGGCTCCAACTATTCACTTGCAGATACTACAAAAGGAGAGATTCCAAACTGCTCAATCAAAACATAGGTTCAACACTGTGAGTTGAATGCACACATCACAAAGAAGTTTCACAGAGTGCTTCTGGGTAGTTTTTATTTGAGGATATTTCCCTTTCCACAATAGGCCTCAAAGCTTTCCAAATATCCACTTGCAGATTCTGCAAAAAGAGAGATACAAAACTGCTCTATCAAAAGATAGATTCGACTCTGTGAGTTGAATGCCAACATCGCAAAGAAGTTTCTCAGAATGCTTCTCTGCAGCTTTTTTGTGAGTATGTTTCGTTTTCCACCATAGGGCGAAATGGGGCTCCAAATATCCACTTGCATTTCCTACAAAAGGAGAGATTCTAAGCTGCTCAATCAAAACATTGTTTCAACACGGTTAGTTGAATGCACACATCCCAAAGATGTTTCTCAGAGTGCTTCTGTGTGGTTTTTATGTGAAGATACTTCCTTTTCCACAATAGGCCTCAAATCTCTGTAAATATCCACTTGCAGACTCTACAAAGAGTGTTTCCAAACTGCTCAATCATAAGATAGGTTCAACTCCGATAGTTGAATGCACACATCACAAAGAAGTTTCTCAGAAAGCTTCTGTGTAGTTTTTGATGAAGATATCTTCTTCTCTAAAACAGAACTCCAAGCCCTCCAAATATTCACTTCAAGATTCTACGGAAAGATTGTCTCAAAACTCCTAAATCAAAACAAAGTTTCAACTCTGTGTCATGAATGCATTCATCTCAAAGAAGTTTCTCTGAATGCTTCTGTGCAGTTTTTATTTGAAGATAATTGCTTTTCCAGTATAGGGCGAAATAGGGCTCCAAATATTCACTTGCAGATTCTACAGAAAGAGAGATTCCAAACTGCTCAATCAAAACATAGGTTCAACACTGTGAGTTGAATGTATACATCGCAAAGAAGTTTCACAGAGTACTTCTGGGTGGTTTTTATTTGAAGATATTTCCCTTTCCACAATAGGCCTCAAAGCTTTCCAAATGTCCACTTGCAGATTCCACCAAAAGAGTGTTTCGAAACTGCTCAATCAAAAGAAAGGTTCTACTCTGTGGGATGAATGCACACATCACAAAGTAGTTTCTCAGAATGCTTCTGTGTAGTTTTTATGTGAAGATATTTGTTTTTCCACAGTAGGCCCCAAAGAGCTCCAAATATTCACTTGCAGATTCTACAAAAAGAGTGTTCCAAAACTGCTCAATCATGAAATAGGATCAACTCTGTGAGATGAATGTACGTATGACAGAGAAGTTTCTCAGAATGCTTCAGTGTAGTTTTTATGCGAAGATATTCGATTTTCCACAGTACGCCTCAAAGTTCTCCAATTATCCACTCGTAGATTCTGCAAAAAGAGAGATTCAAAACTGCTCAATCAAAAGATAGTTTCTACTCCATTAGCTGAAAGACCACATCACAAAAAAAGTTTCTCAGGATGCTTCTGTGTAGTTTTTATGTGAAGATATTTGGTTTTCCACAGTAGGCCTCAAAGCGCTCCAAATATCCACTCACAGATTCTGCAAAAAGAGAGATTCAAAACTGCTGAATCAAAAGACAGTTTCAACTCTGTGACTTCAGTGCACACCTCACAAGGATGTTTCTCAGAATGCTTCTGTGTAGTTTTTATATAAAGATATCTCCTTCTCCAAAATGGATCTCAAAGTTCTCCAAATATTCACTTCCAGATTCTATGGAAAGATTGTCTCAAAACTGCTCAATCAAACCAAAGGTTCAACTCTGTGAGATGAATGCACACATCACAAAGAAGTTTCTCAGAGTACTTCTGTGTAGTTTCTATTTGAGGATAGTTCCTTTTCCACCACAGACCAGAAAGGGCTCCAAATATCCATTGCAGATGGTACAAAAAGTGAGATTCAAAACTGCTCAATCCAAAGGTAGTTTCAACCATGTGATGTGAATGCACACAGCACAGAGAATTTTCTCAAAATGCGTCTGTCTAGTTTTTATTTGAAGATATTTCCTTTTCTACCATAGGCCACAAACGTCTCCAAATATCCACATGCAGCTTCTACAAAAAGAGAGATTCAAAACTTCTCAATCAAAAGATAGGTTCAACTCTGTGAGTTGAAAGCACACCTCACAAAGAAGTTTCTCAGAGTGCTTCTGTGTGTTTTTATGTGAAGATATTTCCTTTTCCACAATAGGCCTCAAAGCTCTCCAAATATCTGCGAGCAGAGTCTACAAAATGAGAGATTCAAAACTGCTCAATGAAAAGATAGGTTCAACTCTGTGAGTTGAATGCACACCTCCAAAGAAGTTTCTCAGAATGCTTCCGTGTAGTTTTTATGTGAAGATATTTACTTTTCCACAGTTGTCCCAAAGCTCTAAAATATCCACTTGCAGACCCTCCAAAAGAGTGTTTCAGAATTGCTCAATCAAAGGGAAGGTTCAATTCTGTGTGACCAATGCACTCATCACAAAGAAGTTTGTCTGAATGCTTCTGTGTAGAATTGATTTGAAGATAATTCCTTTTCCACCACAGTCCGCAAAGGGCTAAAAATATCCACTTGCCGATTCCACAAAAAGAGAGATTCAAAACTGCTCAATCACAAGATAGGTTCAACTTGGTAATTGGAAAGCACACATGACAAACAATTTCTGAGAATGTTTCTGTGTAGTTTTTAAGGGAAGATATTTGATTTTCAAATGTAGGCCTCAAATCGCTCCAAATATCCACTTGCATATTGTACAAAAAGAGAGATTCAAAACTGGTCACTCAAAAGTTAGGTCCAGCTCTGTGAGCTGAATGCACACATCACAAAGATGTTTCTCAGAAGGTTTCTGTATAGTTTTTATATGAAGATATTTGCTTTTCCACAATATGCCTCAAATCTCCCCAATTATCCACTTGCAGATTCTAGAAAAAGAGTGTTTCAAAACAGCTCAATCAAAATAAACTTTCAACTCTGTGAGATCAATGCACACATCACAAAGAAGTTTCTCAGAATGCTTCTGTGTAGTTTTTTTTGTGAAGATATTTGATTTTCCACAGCAGGCTTCCAAGCACTCCAAATATCCACTCGCAGATTCTGCAAAAAGAGAGATTCAAATCTGCTGAATCAAAAGATAGGTTTAACTCTGTGACTTCAATGCACACCTCACAAGGGTGTTTCTCAGAAAGCTTCTGTGTAGTTTTTATATGAAGATATCTCCTTTTCCAAAGCAGGTCTCAAAGCCCTCCAAATATTCACTTCAAGATTCTACGGAAAGATTGTCTCAACACTGCTAAATCTAAACAAATGTTCAACTCTGTGTGATGAATGCACTCATCACAGAGTAGTTTCTCTGAATGCCTCTGTGTAGTTTTTATTTGAAGAATTTGCTTTTCCAGTATAGGGCGAAATAGGGCTCCAAATATTCACTTGCAGATTCTACAAAAGGAGAGATTCCAAACTGCTCAATCAAAACATAGGTTCAACACTGTGAGTTGAATGCACACATCACAAAGAAGTTTCACAGAGTGCTTCTGGGTAGTTTTTATTTGAGGATATTTCCCTTTCCACAATAGGCCTCAAAGCTTTCCAAATATCCACTTGCAGATTCTGCAAAAAGAGAGATACAAAACTGCTCTATCAAAAGATAGATTCGACTCTGTGAGTTGAATGCCAACATCGCAAAGAAGTTTCTCAGAATGCTTCTCTGCAGCTTTTTTGTGAGTATGTTTCGTTTTCCACCATAGGGCGAAATGGGGCTCCAAATATCCACTTGCATTTCCTACAAAAAGAGAGATTCTAAGCTGCTCAATCAAAACATTGTTTCAACACGGTTAGTTGAATGCACACATCCCAAAGATGTTTTTCAGAGTGCTTCTGTGTGGTTTTTATGTGAAGATACTTCCTTTTCCACAATAGGCCTCAAATCTCTGTAAATATCCACTTGCAGACTCTACAAAGAGTGTTTCCAAACTGCTCAATCATAAGATAGGTTCAACTCCGATAGTTGAATGCACACATCACAAAGAAGTTTCTCAGAAAGCTTCTGTGTAGTTTTTGATGAAGATATCTCCTTCTCTAAAACAGAACTCCAAGCCCTCCAAATATTCACTTCAAGATTCTACGGAAAGATTGTCTCAAAACTCCTAAATCAAAACAAAGTTTCAACTCTGTGTCATGAATGCATTCATCTCAAAGAAGTTTCTCTGAATGCTTCTGTGCAGTTTTTATTTGAAGATAATTGCTTTTCCAGTATAGGGCGAAATAGGGCTCCAAATATTCACTTGCAGATTCTACAGAAAGAGAGATTCCAAACTGCTCAATCAAAACATAGGTTCAACACTGTGAGTTGAATGCATACATCGCAAAGAAGTTTCACAGAGTACTTCTGGGTGGTTTTTATTTGAAGATATTTCCCTTTCCACAATAGGCCTCAAAGCTTTCCAAATGTCCACTTGCAGATTCCACCAAAAGCGTGTTTCGAAACTGCTCAATCAAAAGAAAGGTTCTACTCTGTGGGATGAATGCACACATCACAAAGTAGTTTCTCAGAATGCTTCTGTGTAGTTTTTATGTGAAGATATTTGTTTTTCCACAGTAGGCCCCAAAGAGCTCCAAATATTCACTTGCAGATTCTACAAAAAGAGTGTTCCAAAACTGCTCAATCATGAAATAGGATCAACCCTGTGAGATGAATGTACGTATGACAGAGAAGTTTCTCAGAATGCTTCTGTGTAGTTTTTATGCGAAGATATTCGACTTTCCACAGTACGCCTCAAAGTTCTCCAATTATCCACTCGTAGATTCTGCAAAAAGAGAGATTCAAAACTGCTCAATCAAAAGATAGTTTCTACTCCATTAGCTGAAAGACCACATCACAAAAAAAGTTTCTCAGGATGCTTCTGTGTAGTTTTTATGTGAAGATATTTGGTTTTCCACAGTAGGCCTCAAAGCGCTCCAAATATCCACTCACAGATTCTGCAAAAAGAGAGATTCAAAACTGCTGAATCAAAAGACAGTTTCAACTCTGTGACTTCAGTGCACACCTCACAAGGATGTTTCTCAGAATGCTTCTGTGTAGTTTTCATATAAAGGTATCTCCTTCTCCAAAATGGATCTCAAAGTTCTCCAAATATTCACTTCCAGATTCTATGGAAAGATTGTCTCAAAACTGCTCAATCAAACCAAAGGTTCAACTCTGTGAGATGAATGCCCACATCACAAAGAAGTTTCTCAGAGTACTTCTGTGTAGTTTCTATTTGAGGATAGTTCCTTTTCCACCACAGACCAGAAAGGGCTCCAAATATCCATTGCAGATGGTACAAAAAGTGAGATTCAAAACTGCTCAATCCAAAGGTAGTTTCAACCATGTGATATGAATGCACACAGCACAGAGAATTTTCTCAAAATGCGTCTGTCTAGTTTTTATTTGAAGATATTTCCTTTTCTACCATAGGCCACAAACGTCTCCAAATATCCACATGCAGCTTCTACAAAAAGAGAGATTCAAAACTTCTCAATCAAAAGATAGGTTCAACTCTGTGAGTTGAAAGCACACCTCACAGAGAAGTTTCTCAGAGTGCTTCTGTGTGTTTTTATGTGAAGATATTTCCTTTTCCACAATAGGCCTCAAAGCTCTCCAAATATCTGCGAGCAGAGTCTACAAAATGAGAGATTCAAAACTGCTCAATGAAAAGATAGGTTCAACTCTGTGAGTTGAATGCACACCTCCAAAGAAGTTTCTCAGAATGCTTCCGTGTAGTTTTTATGTGAAGATATTTACTTTTCCACAGTTGTCCCAAAGCTCTAAAATGTCCACTTGCAGACCCTCCAAAAGAGTGTTTCAGAATTGCTCAATCAAAGGGAAGGTTCAATTCTGTGTGACCAATGCACTCATCACAAAGAAGTTTGTCTGAATGCTTCTGTGTAGAATTGATTTGAAGATAATTCCTTTTCCACCACAGTCCGCAAAGGGCTAAAAATATCCACTTGCCGATTCCACAAAAAGAGAGATTCAAAACTGCTCAATCACAAGATAGGTTCAACTTGGTAATTGGAAAGCACACATGACAAACAATTTCTGAGAATGTTTCTGTGTAGTTTTTAAGGGAAGATATTTGATTTTCAAATGTAGGCCTCAAATCGCTCCAAATATCCACTTGCATATTGTACAAAAAGAGAGATTCAAAACTGGTCACTCAAAAGTTAGGTCCAGCTCTGTGAGCTGAATGCACACATCACAAAGATGTTTCTCAGAAGGTTTCTGTATAGTTTCTATATGAAGATATTTGCTTTTCCACAATATGCCTCAAATCTCCCCAATTATCCACTTGCAGATTCTAGAAAAAGAGTGTTTCAAAACAGCTCAATACAAATAAACTTTCAACTCTGTGAGATCAATGCACACATCACAAAGAAGTTTCTCAGAATGCTTCTGTGTAGTTTTTTTTGTGAAGATATTTGATTTTCCACAGCAGGCTTCCAAGCACTCCAAATATCCACTCGCAGATTCTGCAAAAAGAGAGATTCAAATCTGCTGAATCAAAAGATAGGTTTAACTCTGTGACTTCAATGCACACCTCACAAGGGTGTTTCTCAGAAAGCTTCTGTGTAGTTTTTATATGAAGATATCTCCTTCTCCAAAGCAGGTCTCAAAGCCCTCCAAATATTCACTTCAAGATTCTACGGAAAGATTGTCTCAACACTGCTAAATCTAAACAAATGTTCAACTCTGTGTGATGAATGCACTCATCACAGAGAAGTTTCTCTGAAGGCCTCTGTGTAGTTTTTATTTGAAGATATTTGCTTTTCCAGTATAGGGCGAAATAGGGCTCCAAATATTCACTTGCAGATTCTACAAAAGGAGAGATTCCAAACTGCTCAATCAAAACATAGGTTCAACACTGTGAGTTGAATGCACACATCACAAAGAAGTTTCACAGAGTGCTTCTGGGTAGTTTTTATTTGAGGATATTTCCCTTTCCACAATAGGCCTCAAAGCTTTCCAAATATCCACTTGCAGATTCTGCAAAAAGAGAGATACAAAACTGCTCTATCAAAAGATAGATTCGACTCTGTGAGTTGAATGCCAACATCGCAAAGAAGTTTCTCAGAATGCTTCTCTGCAGCTTTTTTGTGAGTATGTTTCGTTTTCCACCATAGGGCGAAATGGGGCTCCAAATATCCACTTGCATTTCCTACAAAAAGAGAGATTCTAAGCTGCTCAATCAAAACATTGTTTCAACACGGTTAGTTGAATGCACACATCCCAAAGATGTTTTTCAGAGTGCTTCTGTGAGGTTTTTATGTGAAGATACTTCCTTTTCCACAATAGGCCTCAAATCTCTGTAAATATCCACTTGCAGACTCTACAAAGAGTGTTTCCAAACTGCTCAATCATAAGATAGGTTCAACTCCGATAGTTGAATGCACACATCACAAAGAAGTTTCTCAGAAAGCTTCTGTGTAGTTTTTGATGAAGATATCTCCTTCTCTAAAACAGAACTCCAAGCCCTCCAAATATTCACTTCAAGATTCTACGGAAAGATTGTCTCAAAACTCCTAAATCAAAACAAAGTTTCAACTCTGTGTCATGAATGCATTCATCTCAAAGAAGTTTCTCTGAATGCTTCTGTGCAGTTTTTATTTGAAGATAATTGCTTTTCCAGTATAGGGCGAAATAGGGCTCCAAATATTCACTTGCAGATTCTACAGAAAGAGAGATTCCAAACTGCTCAATCAAAACATAGGTTCAACACTGTGAGTTGAATGCATACATCGCAAAGAAGTTTCACAGAGTACTTCTGGGTGGTTTTTATTTGAAGATATTTCCCTTTCCACAATAGGCCTCAAAGCTTTCCAAATGTCCACTTGCAGATTCCACCAAAAGAGTGTTTCGAAACTGCTCAATCAAAAGAAAGGTTCTACTCTGTGGGATGAATGCACACATCACAAAGTAGTTTCTCAGAATGCTTCTGTGTAGTTTTTATGTGAAGATATTTGTTTTTCCACAGTAGGCCCCAAAGAGCTCCAAATATTCACTTGCAGATTCTACAAAAAGAGTGTTCCAAAACTGCTCAATCATGAAATAGGATCAACCCTGTGAGATGAATGTACGTATGACAGAGAAGTTTCTCAGAATGCTTCTGTGTAGTTTTTATGCGAAGATATTCGATTTTCCACAGTACGCCTCAAAGTTCTCCAATTATCCACTCGTAGATTCTGCAAAAAGAGAGATTCAAAACTGCTCAATCAAAAGATAGTTTCTACTCCATTAGCTGAAAGACCACATCACAAAAAAAGTTTCTCAGGATGCTTCTGTGTAGTTTTTATGTGAAGATATTTGGTTTTCCACAGTAGGCCTCAAAGCGCTCCAAATATCCACTCACAGATTCTGCAAAAAGAGAGATTCAAAACTGCTGAATCAAAAGACAGTTTCAACTCTGTGACTTCAGTGCACACCTCACAAGGATGTTTCTCAGAATGCTTCTGTGTAGTTTTCATATAAAGATATCTCCTTCTCCAAAATGGATCTCAAAGTTCTCCAAATATTCACTTCCAGATTCTATGGAAAGATTGTCTCAAAACTGCTCAATCAAACCAAAGGTTCAACTCTGTGAGATGAATGCCCACATCACAAAGAAGTTTCTCAGAGTACTTCTGTGTAGTTTCTATTTGAGGATAGTTCCTTTTCCACCACAGACCAGAAAGGGCTCCAAATATCCATTGCAGATGGTACAAAAAGTGAGATTCAAAACTGCTCAATCCAAAGGTAGTTTCAACCATGTGATATGAATGCACACAGCACAGAGAATTTTCTCAAAATGCGCTGTCTAGTTTTTATTTGAAGATATTTCCTTTTCTACCATAGGCCACAAACGTCTCCAAATATCCACATGCAGCTTCTACAAAAAGAGAGATTCAAAACTTCTCAATCAAAAGATAGGTTCAACTCTGTGAGTTGAAAGCACACCTCACAGAGAAGTTTCTCAGAGTGCTTTCTGTGTGTTTTTATGTGAAGATATTTCCTTTTCCACAATAGGCCTCAAAGCTCTCCAAATATCTGCGAGCAGAGTCTACAAAATGAGAGAGTCAAAACTGCTCAATGAAAAGATAGGTTCAACTCTGTGAGTTGAATGCACACCTCCAAAGAAGTTTCTCAGAATGCTTCCGTGCAGTTTTTATGTGAAGATATTTACTTTTCCACAGTTGTCCCAAAGCTCTAAAATGTCCACTTGCAGACCCTCCAAAAGAGTGTTTCAGAATTGCTCAATCAAAGGGAAGGTTCAATTCTGTGTGACCAATGCACTCATCACAAAGAAGTTTGTCTGAATGCTTCTGTGTAGAATTGATTTGAAGATAATTCCTTTTCCACCACAGTCCGCAAAGGGCTAAAAATATCCACTTGCCGATTCCACAAAAAGAGAGATTCAAAACTGCTCAATCACAAGATAGGTTCAACTTGGTAATTGGAAAGCACACATGACAAACAATTTCTGAGAATGTTTCTGTGTAGTTTTTAAGGGAAGATATTTGATTTTCAAATGTAGGCCTCAAATCGCTCCACTTGCATATTGTACAAAAAGAGAGATTCAAAACTGGTCACTCAAAAGTTAGGTCCAGCTCTGTGAGCTGAATGCACACATCACAAAGATGTTTCTCAGAAGGTTTCTGTATAGTTTCTATATGAAGATATTTGCTTTTCCACAATATGCCTCAAATCTCCCCAATTATCCACTTGCAGATTCTAGAAAAAGAGTGTTTCAAAACAGCTCAATCAAAATAAACTTTCAACTCTGTGAGATCAATGCACACATCACAAAGAAGTTTCTCAGAATGCTTCTGTGTAGTTTTTTTTGTGAAGATATTTGATTTTCCACAGCAGGCTTCCAAGCACTCCAAATATCCACTCGCAGATTCTGCAAAAAGAGAGATTCAAATCTGCTGAATCAAAAGATAGGTTTAACTCGGTGACTTCAATGCACACCTCACAAGGGTGTTTCTCAGAAAGCTTCTGTGTAGTTTTTATATGAAGATATCTCCTTCTCCAAAGCAGGTCTCAAAGCCCTCCAAATATTCACTTCAAGATTCTACGGAAAGATTGTCTCAACACTGCTAAATCTAAACAAATGTTCAACTCTGTGTGATGAATGCACTCATCACAGAGAAGTTTCTCTGAATGCCTCTGTGTAGTTTTTATTTGAAGATATTTGCTTTTCCAGTATAGGGCGAAATAGGGCTCCAAATATTCACTTGCAGATTCTACAAAAGGAGAGATTCCAAACTGCTCAATCAAAACATAGGTTCAACACTGTGAGTTGAATGCACACATCACAAAGAAGTTTCACAGAGTGCTTCTGGGTAGTTTTTATTTGAGGATATTTCCCTTTCCACAATAGGCCTCAAAGCTTTCCAAATATCCACTTGCAGATTCTGCAAAAAGAGAGATACAAAACTGCTCTATCAAAAGATAGATTCGACTCTGTGAGTTGAATGCCAACATCGCAAAGAAGTTTCTCAGAATGCTTCTCTGCAGCTTTTTTGTGAGTATGTTTCGTTTTCCACCATAGGGCGAAATGGGGCTCCAAATATCCACTTGCATTTCCTACAAAAAGAGAGATTCTAAGCTGCTCAATCAAAACATTGTTTCAACACGGTTAGTTGAATGCACACATCCCAAAGATGTTTTTCAGAGTGCTTCTGTGTGGTTTTTATGTGAAGATACTTCCTTTTCCACAATAGGCCTCAAATCTCTGTAAATATCCACTTGCAGACTCTACAAAGAGTGTTTCCAAACTGCTCAATCATAAGATAGGTTCAACTCCGATAGTTGAATGCACACATCACAAAGAAGTTTCTCAGAAAGCTTCTGTGTAGTTTTTGATGAAGATATCTCCTTCTCTAAAACAGAACTCCAAGCCCTCCAAATATTCACTTCAAGATTCTACGGAAAGATTGTCTCAAAACTCCTAAATCAAAACAAAGTTTCAACTCTGTGTCATGAATGCATTCATCTCAAAGAACTTTCTCTGAATGCTTCTGTGCAGTTTTTATTTGAAGATAATTGCTTTTCCAGTATAGGGCGAAATAGGGCTCCAAATATTCACTTGCAGATTCTACAGAAAGAGAGATTCCAAACTGCTCAATCAAAACATAGGTTCAACACTGTGAGTTGAATGCATACATCGCAAAGAAGTTTCACAGAGTACTTCTGGGTGGTTTTTATTTGAAGATATTTCCCTTTCCACAATAGGCCTCAAAGCTTTCCAAATGTCCACTTGCAGATTCCACCAAAAGCGTGTTTCGAAACTGCTCAATCAAAAGAAAGGTTCTACTCTGTGGGATGAATGCACACATCACAAAGTAGTTTCTCAGAATGCTTCTGTGTAGTTTTTATGTGAAGATATTTGTTTTTCCACAGTAGGCCCCAAAGAGCTCCAAATATTCACTTGCAGATTCTACAAAAAGAGTGTTCCAAAACTGCTCAATCATGAAATAGGATCAACCCTGTGAGATGAATGTACGTATGACAGAGAAGTTTCTCAGAATGCTTCTGTGTAGTTTTTATGCGAAGATATTCGATTTTCCACAGTACGCCTCAAAGTTCTCCAATTATCCACTCGTAGATTCTGCAAAAAGAGAGATTCAAAACTGCTCAATCAAAAGATAGTTTCTACTCCATTTAGCTGAAAGACCACATCACAAAAAAAGTTTCTCAGGATGCTTCTGTGTAGTTTTTATGTGAAGATATTTGGTTTTCCACAGTAGGCCTCAAAGCGCTCCAAATATCCACTCACAGATTCTGCAAAAAGAGAGATTCAAAACTGCTGAATCAAAAGACAGTTTCAACTCTGTGACTTCAGTGCACACCTCACAAGGATGTTTCTCAGAATTCTTCTGTGTAGTTTTTATATAAAGATATCTCTTCTCCAAAATGGATCTCAAAGTTCTCCAAATATTCACTTCCAGATTCTATGGAAAGATTGTCTCAAAACTGCTCAATCAAACCAAAGGTTCAACTCTGTGAGATGAATGCCCACATCACAAAGAAGTTTCTCAGAGTACTTCTGTGTAGTTTCTATTTGAGGATAGTTCCTTTTCCACCACAGACCAGAAAGGGCTCCAAATATCCATTGCAGATGGTACAAAAAGTGAGATTCAAAACTGCTCAATCCAAAGGTAGTTTCAACCATGTGATATGAATGCACACAGCACAGAGAATTTTCTCAAAATGCGTCTGTCTAGTTTTTATTTGAAGATATTTCCTTTTCTACCATAGGCCACAAACGTCTCCAAATATCCACATGCAGCTTCTACAAAAAGAGAGATTCAAAACTTCTCAATCAAAAGATAGGTTCAACTCTGTGAGTTGAAAGCACACCTCACAGAGAAGTTTCTCAGAGTGCTTCTGTGTGTTTTTATGTGAAGATATTTCCTTTTCCACAATAGGCCTCAAAGCTCTCCAAATATCTGCGAGCAGAGTCTACAAAATGAGAGATTCAAAACTGCTCAATGAAAAGATAGGTTCAACTCTGTGAGTTGAATGCACACCTCCAAAGAAGTTTCTCAGAATGCTTCCGTGTAGTTTTTATGTGAAGATATTTACTTTTCCACAGTTGTCCCAAAGCTCTAAAATGTCCACTTGCAGACCCTCCAAAAGAGTGTTTCAGAATTGCTCAATCAAAGGGAAGGTTCAATTCTGTGTGACCAATGCACTCATCACAAAGAAGTTTGTCTGAATGCTTCTGTGTAGAATTGATTTGAAGATAATTCCTTTTCCACCACAGTCCGCAAAGGGCTAAAAATATCCACTTGCCGATTCCACAAAAAGAGAGATTCAAAACTGCTCAATCACAAGATAGGTTCAACTTGGTAATTGGAAAGCACACATGACAAACAATTTCTGAGAATGTTTCTGTGTAGTTTTTAAGGGAAGATATTTGATTTTCAAATGTAGGCCTCAAATCGCTCCAAATATCCACTTGCATATTGTACAAAAAGAGAGATTCAAAACTGGTCACTCAAAAGTTAGGTCCACTCTGTGAGCTGAATGCACACATCACAAAGATGTTTCTCAGAAGGTTTCTGTATAGTTTCTATATGAAGATATTTGCTTTTCCACAATATGCCTCAAATCTCCCCAATTATCCACTTGCAGATTCTAGAAAAAGAGTGTTTCAAAACAGCTCAATCAAAATAAACTTTCAACTCTGTGAGATCAATGCACACATCACAAAGAAGTTTCTCAGAATGCTTCTGTGTAGTTTTTTTTGTGAAGATATTTGATTTTCCACAGCAGGCTTCCAAGCACTCCAAATATCCACTCGCAGATTCTGCAAAAAGAGAGATTCAAATCTGCTGAATCAAAAGATAGGTTTAACTCTGTGACTTCAATGCACACCTCACAAGGGTGTTTCTCAGAAAGCTTCTGTGTAGTTTTTATATGAAGATATCTCCTTCTCCAAAGCAGGTCTCAAAGCCCTCCAAATATTCACTTCAAGATTCTACGGAAAGATTGTCTCAACACTGCTAAATCTAAACAAATGTTCAACTCTGTGTGATGAATGCACTCATCACAGAGAAGTTTCTCTGAATGCCTCTGTGTAGTTTTTATTTGAAGATATTTGCTTTTCCAGTATAGGGCGAAATAGGGCTCCAAATATTCACTTGCAGATTCTACAAAAGGAGAGATTCCAAACTGCTCAATCAAAACATAGGTTCAACACTGTGAGTTGAATGCACACATCACAAAGAAGTTTCACAGAGTGCTTCTGGGTAGTTTTTATTTGAGGATATTTCCCTTTCCACAATAGGCCTCAAAGCTTTCCAAATATCCACTTGCAGATTCTGCAAAAAGAGAGATACAAAACTGCTCTATCAAAAGATAGATTCGACTCTGTGAGTTGAATGCCAACATCGCAAAGAAGTTTCTCAGAATGCTTCTCTGCAGCTTTTTTGTGAGTATGTTTCGTTTTCCACCATAGGGCGAAATGGGGCTCCAAATATCCACTTGCATTTCCTACAAAAAGAGAGATTCTAAGCTGCTCAATCAAAACATTGTTTCAACACGGTTAGTTGAATGCACACATCCCAAAGATGTTTTTCAGAGTGCTTCTGTGTGGTTTTTATGTGAAGATACTTCTTTTTCCACAATAGGCCTCAAATCTCTGTAAATATCCACTTGCAGACTCTACAAAGAGTGTTTCCAAACTGCTCAATCATAAGATAGGTTCAACTCCAATAGTTGAATGCACACATCACAAAGAAGTTTCTCAGAAAGCTTCTGTGTAGTTTTTGATGAAGATATCTCCTTCTCTAAAACAGAACTCCAAGCCCTCCAAATATTCACTTCAAGATTCTACGGAAAGATTGTCTCAAAACTCCTAAATCAAAACAAAGTTTCAACTCTGTGTCATGAATGCATTCATCTCAAAGAAGTTTCTCTGAATGCTTCTGTGCAGTTTTTATTTGAAGATAATTGCCTTTCCAGTATAGGGCGAAATAGGGCTCCAAATATTCACTTGCAGATTCTACAGAAAGAGAGATTCCAAACTGCTCAATCAAAACATAGGTTCAACACTGTGAGTTGAATGCATACATCGCAAAGAAGTTTCACAGAGTACTTCTGGGTGGTTTTTATTTGAAGATATTTCCCTTTCCACAATAGGCCTCAAAGCTTTCCAAATGTCCACTTGCAGATTCCACCAAAAGAGTGTTTCGAAACTGCTCAATCAAAAGAAAGGTTCTACTCTGTGGGATGAATGCACACATCACAAAGTAGTTTCTCAGAATGCTTCTGTGTAGTTTTTATGTGAAGATATTTGTTTTTCCACAGTAGGCCCCAAAGAGCTCCAAATATTCACTTGCAGATTCTACAAAAAGAGTGTTCCAAAACTGCTCAATCATGAAATAGGATCAACCCTGTGAGATGAATGTACGTATGACAGAGAAGTTTCTCAGAATGCTTCTGTGTAGTTTTTATGCGAAGATATTCGATTTTCCACAGTACGCCTCAAAGTTCTCCAATTATCCACTCGTAGATCCTGCAAAAAGAGAGATTCAAAACTGCTCAATCAAAAGATAGTTTCTACTCCATTAGCTGAAAGACCACATCACAAAAAAAGTTTCTCAGGATGCTTCTGTGTAGTTTTTATGTGAAGATATTTGGTTTTCCACAGTAGGCCTCAAAGCGCTCCAAATATCCACTCACAGATTCTGCAAAAAGAGAGATTCAAAACTGCTGAATCAAAAGACAGTTTCAACTCTGTGACTTCAGTGCACACCTCACAAGGATGTTTCTCAGAATGCTTCTGTGTAGTTTTTATATAAAGATATCTCCTTCTCCAAAATGGATCTCAAAGTTCTCCAAATATTCACTTCCAGATTCTATGGAAAGATTGTCTCAAAACTGCTCAATCAAACCAAAGGTTCAACTCTGTGAGATGAATGCCCACATCACAAAGAAGTTTCTCAGAGTACTTCTGTGTAGTTTCTATTTGAGGATAGTTCCTTTTCCACCACAGACCAGAAAGGGCTCCAAATATCCATTGCAGATGGTACAAAAAGTGAGATTCAAAACTGCTCAATCCAAAGGTAGTTTCAACCATGTGATATGAATGCACACAGCACAGAGAATTTTCTCAAAATGCGTCTGTCTAGTTTTTATTTGAAGATATTTCCTTTTCTACCATAGGCCACAAACGTCTCCAAATATCCACATGCAGCTTCTACAAAAAGAGAGATTCAAAACTTCTCAATCAAAAGATAGGTTCAACTCTGTGAGTTGAAAGCACACCTCACAGAGAAGTTTCTCAGAGTGCTTCTGTGTGTTTTTATGTGAAGATATTTCCTTTTCCACAATAGGCCTCAAAGCTCTCCAAATATCTGCGAGCAGAGTCTACAAAATGAGAGATTCAAAACTGCTCAATGAAAAGATAGGTTCAACTCTGTGAGTTGAATGCACACCTCCAAAGAAGTTTCTCAGAATGCTTCCGTGTAGTTTTTATGTGAAGATATTTACTTTTCCACAGTTGTCCCAAAGCTCTAAAATGTCCACTTGCAGACCCTCCAAAAGAGTGTTTCAGAATTGCTCAATCAAAGGGAAGGTTCAATTCTGTGTGACCAATGCACTCATCACAAAGAAGTTTGTCTGAATGCTTCTGTGTAGAATTGATTTGAAGATAATTCCTTTTCCACCACAGTCCGCAAAGGGCTAAAAATATCCACTTGCCGATTCCACAAAAAGAGAGATTCAAAACTGCTCAATCACAAGATAGGTTCAACTTGGTAATTGGAAAGCACACATGACAAACAATTTCTGAGAATGTTTCTGTGTAGTTTTTAAGGGAAGATATTTGATTTTCAAATGTAGGCCTCAAATCGCTCCAAATATCCACTTGCATATTGTACAAAAAGAGAGATTCAAAACTGGTCACTCAAAAGTTAGGTCCAGCTCTGTGAGCTGAATGCACACATCACAAAGATGTTTCTCAGAAGGTTTCTGTATAGTTTTTATATGAAGATATTGGCTTTTCCACAATATGCCTCAAATCTCCCCAATTATCCACTTGCAGATTCTAGAAAAAGAGTGTTTCAAAACAGCTCAATCAAAATAAACTTTCAACTCTGTGAGATCAATGCACACATCACAAAGAAGTTTCTCAGAATGCTTCTGTGTAGTTTTTTTTGTGAAGATATTTGATTTTCCACAGCAGGCTTCCAAGCACTCCAAATATCCACTCGCAGATTCTGCAAAAAGAGAGATTCAAATCTGCTGAATCAAAAGATAGGTTTAACTCTGTGACTTCAATGCACACCTCACAAGGGTGTTTCTCAGAAAGCTTCTGTGTAGTTTTTATATGAAGATATCTCCTTCTCCAAAGCAGGTCTCAAAGCCCTCCAAATATTCACTTCAAGATTCTACGGAAAGATTGTCTCAACACTGCTAAATCTAAACAAATGTTCAACTCTGTGTGATGAATGCACTCATCACAGAGAAGTTTCTCTGAATGCCTCTGTGTAGTTTTTATTTGAAGATATTTGCTTTTCCAGTATAGGGCGAAATAGGGCTCCAAATATTCACTTGCAGATTCTACAAAAGGAGAGATTCCAAACTGCTCAATCAAAACATAGGTTCAACACTGTGAGTTGAATGCACACATCACAAAGAAGTTTCACAGAGTGCTTCTGGGTAGTTTTTATTTGAGGATATTTCCCTTTCCACAATAGGCCTCAAAGCTTTCCAAATATCCACTTGCAGATTCTGCAAAAAGAGAGATACAAAACTGCTCTATCAAAAGATAGATTCGACTCTGTGAGTTGAATGCCAACATCGCAAAGAAGTTTCTCAGAATGCTTCTCTGCAGCTTTTTTGTGAGTATGTTTCGTTTTCCACCATAGGGCGAAATGGGGCTCCAAATATCCACTTGCATTTCCTAC
The DNA here is from genome assembly GCF_000001405.40 of Homo sapiens. Lineage (NCBI taxonomy): Eukaryota > Metazoa > Chordata > Mammalia > Primates > Hominidae > Homo > Homo sapiens. Next base: position 17,593,573 of record NC_000015.10, on the reverse strand, counting down.
AAAAAGAGAGATTCTAAGCTGCTCAATCAAAACATTGTTTCAACACGGTTAGTTGAATGCACACATCCCAAAGATGTTTTTCAGAGTGCTTCTGTGTGGTTTTTATGTGAAGATACTTCCTTTTCCACAATAGGCCTCAAATCTCTGTAAATATCCACTTGCAGACTCTACAAAGAGTGTTTCCAAACTCCTCAATCATAAGATAGGTTCAACTCCGATAGTTGAATGCACACATCACAAAGAAGTTTCTCGGAAAGCTTCTGTGTAGTTTTTGATGAAGATATCTTCTTCTCTAAAACAGAACTCCAAGCCCTCCAAATATTCACTTCAAGATTCTACGGAAAGATTGTCTCAAACTGCTAAATCAAAACAAAGGTTCAACTCTGTGTGATGAATGCATTCATCACAAAGAAGTTTCTCTGAGTGCTTCCTGTGCAGTTTTTATTTGAAGATAATTGCTTTTCCAGTATAGGGCGAAATAGGGCTCCAAATATTCACTTGCAGATTCTACAGAAAGAGAGATTCCAAACTGCTCAATCAAAACATAGGTTCAACACTGTGAGTTGAATGCATACATCGCAAAGAAGTTTCACAGAGTACTTCTGGGTGGTTTTTATTTGAAGATATTTCCCTTTCCACAATAGACCTCAAAGCTTTCCAAATGTCCACTTGCAGATTCCACCAAAAGAGTGTTTCGAAACTGCTCAATCAAAAGAAAGGTTCTACTCTGTGGGATGAATGCACACATCACAAAGTAGTTTCTCAGAATGCTTCTGTGTAGTTTTTATGTGAAGATATTTGTTTTTCCACAGTAGGCCCCAAGGAGCTCCAAATATTCACTTGCAGATTCTACAAAAAGAGTGTTCCAAAACTGCTCAATCATGAAATAGGATCAACCCTGTGAGATGAATGTACGTATGACAGAGAAGTTTCTCAGAATGCTTCTGTGTAGTTTTTATGCGAAGATATTCGATTTTCCACAGTACGCCTCAAAGTTCTCCAATTATCCACTCGTAGATTCTGCAAAAAGAGAGATTCAAAACTGCTCAATCAAAAGATAGTTTCTACTCCATTAGCTGAAAGACCACATCACAAAAAAAGTTTCTCAGGATGCTTCTGTGTAGTTTTTATGTGAAGATATTTGGTTTTCCACAGTAGGCCTCAAAGCGCTCCAAATATCCACTCACAGATTCTGCAAAAAGAGAGATTCAAAACTGCTGAATCAAAAGACAGTTTCAACTCTGTGACTTCAGTGCACACCTCACAAGGATGTTTCTCAGCATGCTTCTGTGTAGTTTTTATATAAAGATATCTCCTTCTCCAAAATGGATCTCAAAGTTCTCCAAATATTCACTTCCAGATTCTATGGAAAGATTGTCTCAAAACTGCTCAATCAAACCAAAGGTTCAACTCTGTGAGATGAATGCACACATCACAAAGAAGTTTCTCAGAGTACTTCTGTGTAGTTTCTATTTGAGGATAGTTCCTTTTCCACCACAGACCAGAAAGGGCTCCAAATATCCATTGCAGATGGTACAAAAAGTGAGATTCAAAACTGCTCAATCCAAAGGTAGTTTCAACCATGTGATATGAATGCACACAGCACAGAGAATTTTCTCAAAATACGTCTGTCTAGTTTTTATTTGAAGATATTTCCTTTTCTACCATAGGCCACAAACGTCTCCAAATATCCACATGCAGCTTCTACAAAAAGAGAGATTCAAAACTTCTCAATCAAAAGATAGGTTCAACTCTGTGAGTTGAAAGCACACCTCACAAAGAAGTTTCTCAGAGTGCTTCTGTGTGTTTTTATGTGAAGATATTTCCTTTTCCACAATAGGCCTCAAAGCTCTCCAAATATCTGCGAGCAGAGTCTACAAAATGAGAGATTCAAAACTGCTCAATGAAAAGATAGGTTCAACTCTGTGAGTTGAATGCACACCTCCAAAGAAGTTTCTCAGAATGCTTCCGTGTAGTTTTTATGTGAAGATATTTACTTTTCCACAGTTGTCCCAAAGCTCTAAAATGTCCACTTGCAGACCCTCCAAAAGAGTGTTTCAGAATTGCTCAATCAAAGGGAAGGTTCAATTCTGTGTGACCAATGCACTCATCACAAAGAAGTTTGTCTGAATGCTTCTGTGTAGAATTGATTTGAAGATAATTCCTTTTCCACCACAGTCCGCAAAGGGCTAAAAATATCCACTTGCCGATTCCACAAAAAGAGAGATTCAAAACTGCTCAATCACAAGATAGGTTCAACTTGGTAATTGGAAAGCACACATGACAAACAATTTCTGAGAATGTTTCTGTGTAGTTTTTAAGGGAAGATATTTGATTTTCAAATGTAGGCCTCAAATCGCTCCAAATATCCACTTGCATATTGTACAAAAAGAGAGATTCAAAACTGGTCACTCAAAAGTTAGGTCCAGCTCTGTGAGCTGAATGCACACATCACAAAGATGTTTCTCAGAAGGTTTCTGTATAGTTTCTATATGAAGATATTTGCTTTTCCACAATATGCCTCAAATCTCCCCAATTATCCACTTGCAGATTCTAGAAAAAGAGTGTTTCAAAACAGCTCAATCAAAATAAACTTTCAACTCTGTGAGATCAATGCACACATCACAAAGAAGTTTCTCAGAATGCTTCTGTGTAGTTTTTTTTGTGAAGATATTTGATTTTCCACAGCAGGCTTCCAAGCACTCCAAATATCCACTCGCAGATTCTGCAAAAAGAGAGATTCAAATCTGCTGAATCAAAAGATAGGTTTAACTCTGTGACTTCAATGCACACCTCACAAGGGTGTTTCTCAGAAAGCTTCTGTGTAGTTTTTATATGAAGATATCTCCTTCTCCAAAGCAGGTCTCAAAGCCCTCCAAATATTCACTTCAAGATTCTATGGAAAGATTGTCTCAACACTGCTAAATCTAAACAAATGTTCAACTCTGTGTGATGAATGCACTCATCACAGAGAAGTTTCTCTGAATGCCTCTGTGTAGTTTTTATTTGAAGATATTTGCTTTTCCAGTATAGGGCGAAATAGGGCTCCAAATATTCACTTGCAGATTCTACAAAAGGAGAGATTCCAAACTGCTCAATCAAAACATAGGTTCAACACTGTGAGTTGAATGCACACATCACAAAGAAGTTTCACAGAGTGCTTCTGGGTAGTTTTTATTTGAGGATATTTCCCTTTCCACAATAGGCCTCAAAGCTTTCCAAATATCCACTTGCAGATTCTGCAAAAAGAGAGATACAAAACTGCTCTATCAAAAGATAGATTCGACTCTGTGAGTTGAATGCCAACATCGCAAAGAAGTTTCTCAGAATGCTTCTCTGCAGCTTTTTTGTGAGTATGTTTCGTTTTCCACCATAGGGCGAAATGGGGCTCCAAATATCCACTTGCATTTCCTACAAAAAGAGAGATTCTAAGCTGCTCAATCAAAACATTGTTTCAACACGGTTAGTTGAATGCACACATCCCAAAGATGTTTTTCAGAGTGCTTCTGTGTGGTTTTTATGTGAAGATACTTCCTTTTCCACAATAGGCCTCAAATCTCTGTAAATATCCACTTGCAGACTCCACAAAGAGTGTTTCCAAACTGCTCAATCATAAGATAGGTTCAACTCCGATAGTTGAATGCACACATCACAAAGAAGTTTCTCAGAAAGCTTCTGTGTAGTTTTTGATGAAGATATCTTCTTCTCTAAAACAGAACTCCAAGCCCTCCAAATATTCACTTCAAGATTCTACGGAAAGATTGTCTCAAACTGCTAAATCAAAACAAAGGTTCAACTCTGTGTGATGAATGCATTCATCACAAAGAAGTTTCTCTGAGTGCTTCTGTGCAGTTTTTATTTGAAGATAATTGCTTTTCCAGTATAGGGCGAAATAGGGCTCCAAATATTCACTTGCAGATTCTACAGAAAGAGAGATTCCAAACTGCTCAATCAAAACATAGGTTCAACACTGTGAGTTGAATGCATACATCGCAAAGAAGTTTCACAGAGTACTTCTGGGTGGTTTTTATTTGAAGATATTTCCCTTTCCACAATAGGCCTCAAAGCTTTCCAAATGTCCACTTGCAGATTCCACCAAAAGAGTGTTTCGAAACTGCTCAATCAAAAGAAAGGTTCTACTCTGTGGGATGAATGCACACATCACAAAGTAGTTTCTCAGAATGCTTCTGTGTAGTTTTTATGTGAAGATATTTGTTTTTCCACAGTAGGCCCCAAAGAGCTCCAAATATTCACTTGCAGATTCTACAAAAAGAGTGTTCCAAAACTGCTCAATCATGAAATAGGATCAACCCTGTGAGATGAATGTACGTATGACAGAGAAGTTTCTCAGAATGCTTCTGTGTAGTTTTTATGCGAAGATATTCGATTTTCCACAGTACGCCTCAAAGTTCTCCAATTATCCACTCGTAGATCCTTCAAAAAGAGAGATTCAAAACTGCTCAATCAAAAGATAGTTTCTACTCCATTAGCTGAAAGACCACATCACAAAAAAAGTTTCTCAGGATGCTTCTGTGTAGTTTTTATGTGAAGATATTTGGTTTTCCACAGTAGGCCTCAAAGCGCTCCAAATATCCACTCACAGATTCTGCAAAAAGAGAGATTCAAAACTGCTGAATCAAAAGACAGTTTCAACTCTGTGACTTCAGTGCACACCTCACAAGGATGTTTCTCAGAATGCTTCTGTGTAGTTTTTATATAAAGATATCTCCTTCTCCAAAATGGATCTCAAAGTTCTCCAAATATTCACTTCCAGATTCTATGGAAAGATTGTCTCAAAACTGCTCAATCAAACCAAAGGTTCAACTCTGTGAGATGAATGCCCACATCACAAAGAAGTTTCTCAGAGTACTTTCTGTGTAGTTTCTATTTGAGGATAGTTCCTTTTCCACCACAGACCAGAAAGGGCTCCAAATATCCATTGCAGATGGTACAAAAAGTGAGATTCAAAACTGCTCAATCCAAAGGTAGTTTCAACCATGTGATATGAATGCACACAGCACAGAGAATTTTCTCAAAATGCGTCTGTCTAGTTTTTATTTGAAGATATTTCCTTTTCTACCATAGGCCACAAACGTCTCCAAATATCCACATGCAGCTTCTACAAAAAGAGAGATTCAAAACTTCTCAATCAAAAGATAGGTTCAACTCTGTGAGTTGAAAGCACACCTCACAAAGAAGTTTCTCAGAGTGCTTCTGTGTGTTTTTATGTGAAGATATTTCCTTTTCCACAATAGGCCTCAAAGCTCTCCAAATATCTGCGAGCAGAGTCTACAAAATGAGAGATTCAAAACTGCTCAATGAAAAGATAGGTTCAACTCTGTGAGTTGAATGCACACCTCCAAAGAAGTTTCTCAGAATGCTTCCGTGAATTTTTTATGTGAAGATATTTACTTTTCCACAGTTGTCCCAAAGCTCTAAAATGTCCACTTGCAGACCCTCCAAAAGAGTGTTTCAGAATTGCTCAATCAAAGGGAAGGTTCAATTCTGTGTGACCAATGCACTCATCACAAAGAAGTTTGTCTGAATGCTTCTGTGTAGAATTGATTTGAAGATAATTCCTTTTCCACCACAGTCCGCAAAGGGCTAAAAATATCCACTTGCCGATTCCACAAAAAGAGAGATTCAAAACTGCTCAATCACAAGATAGGTTCAACTTGGTAATTGGAAAGCACACATGACAAACAATTTCTGAGAATGTTTCTGTGTAGTTTTTAAGGGAAGATATTTGATTTTCAAATGTAGGCCTCAAATCGCTCCAAATATCCACTTGCATATTGTACAAAAAGAGAGATTCAAAACTGGTCACTCAAAAGTTAGGTCCAGCTCTGTGAGCTGAATGCACACATCACAAAGATGTTTCTCAGAAGGTTTCTGTATAGTTTCTATATGAAGATATTTGCTTTTCCACAATATGCCTCAAATCTCCCCAATTATCCACTTGCAGATTCTAGAAAAAGAGTGTTTCAAAACAGCTCAATCAAAATAAACTTTCAACTCTGTGAGATCAATGCACACATCACAAAGAAGTTTCTCAGAATGCTTCTGTGTAGTTTTTTTTGTGAAGATATTTGATTTTCCACAGCAGGCTTCCAAGCACTCCAAATATCCACTCGCAGATTCTGCAAAAAGAGAGATTCAAATCTGCTGAATCAAAAGATAGGTTTAACTCTGTGACTTCAATGCACACCTCACAAGGGTGTTTCTCAGAAAGCTTCTGTGTAGTTTTTATATGAAGATATCTCCTTCTCCAAAGCAGGTCTCAAAGCCCTCCAAATATTCACTTCAAGATTCTACGGAAAGATTGTCTCAACACTGCTAAATCTAAACAAATGTTCAACTCTGTGTGATGAATGCACTCATCACAGAGAAGTTTCTCTGAATGCCTCTGTGTAGTTTTTATTTGAAGATATTTGCTTTTCCAGTATAGGGCGAAATAGGGCTCCAAATATTCACTTGCAGATTCTACAAAAGGAGAGATTCCAAACTGCTCAATCAAAACATAGGTTCAACACTGTGAGTTGAATGCACACATCACAAAGAAGTTTCACAGAGTGCTTCTGGGTAGTTTTTATTTGAGGATATTTCCCTTTCCACAATAGGCCTCAAAGCTTTCCAAATATCCACTTGCAGATTCTGCAAAAAGAGAGATACAAAACTGCTCTATCAAAAGATAGATTCGACTCTGTGAGTTGAATGCCAACATCGCAAAGAAGTTTCTCAGAATGCTTCTCTGCAGCTTTTTTGTGAGTATGTTTCGTTTTCCACCATAGGGCGAAATGGGGCTCCAAATATCCACTTGCATTTCCTACAAAAAGAGAGATTCTAAGCTGCTCAATCAAAACATTGTTTCAACACGGTTAGTTGAATGCACACATCCCAAAGATGTTTTTCAGAGTGCTTCTGTGTGGTTTTTATGTGAAGATACTTCCTTTTCCACAATAGGCCTCAAATCTCTGTAAATATCCACTTGCAGACTCTACAAAGAGTGTTTCCAAACTCCTCAATCATAAGATAGGTACAACTCCGATAGTTGAATGCACACATCACAAAGAAGTTTCTCGGAAAGCTTCTGTGTAGTTTTTGATGAAGATATCTTCTTCTCTAAAACAGAACTCCAAGCCCTCCAAATATTCACTTCAAGATTCTACGGAAAGATTGTCTCAAACTGCTAAATCAAAACAAAGGTTCAACTCTGTGTGATGAATGCATTCATCACAAAGAAGTTTCTCTGAGTGCTTCTGTGCAGTTTTTATTTGAAGATAATTGCTTTTCCAGTATAGGGCGAAATAGGGCTCCAAATATTCACTTGCAGATTCTACAGAAAGAGAGATTCCAAACTGCTCAATCAAAACATAGGTTCAACACTGTGAGTTGAATGCATACATCGCAAAGAAGTTGCACAGAGTACTTCTGGGTGGTTTTTATTTGAAGATATTTCCCTTTCCACAATAGGCCTCAAAGCTTTCCAAATGTCCACTTGCAGATTCCACCAAAAGAGTGTTTCGAAACTGCTCAATCAAAAGAAAGGTTCTACTCTGTGGGATGAATGCACACATCACAAAGTAGTTTCTCAGAATGCTTCTGTGTAGTTATTATGTGAAGATATTTGTTTTTCCACAGTAGGCCCCAAAGAGCTCCAAATATTCACTTGCAGATTCTACAAAAAGAGTGTTCCAAAACTGCTCAATCATGAAATAGGATCAACCCTGTGAGATGAATGTACGTATGACAGAGAAGTTTCTCAGAATGATTCTGTGTAGTTTTTATGCGAAGATATTCGATTTTCCACAGTACGCCTCAAAGTTCTCCAATTATCCACTCGTAGATTCTGCAAAAAGAGAGATTCAAAACTGCTCAATCAAAAGATAGTTTCTACTCCATTAGCTGAAAGACCACATCACAAAAAAAGTTTCTCAGGATGCTTCTGTGTAGTTTTTATGTGAAGATATTTGGTTTTCCACAGTAGGCCTCAAAGCGCTCCAAATATCCACTCACAGATTCTGCAAAAAGAGAGATTCAAAACTGCTGAATCAAAAGACAGTTTCAACTCTGTGACTTCAGTGCACACCTCACAAGGATGTTTCTCAGAATGCTTCTGTGTAGTTTTTATATAAAGATATCTCCTTCTCCAAAATGGATCTCAAAGTTCCCCAAATATTCACTTCCAGATTCTATGGAAAGATTGTCTCAAAACTGCTCAATCAAACCAAAGGTTCAACTCTGTGAGATGAATGCACACATCACAAAGAAGTTTCTCAGAGTACTTCTGTGTAGTTTCTATTTGAGGATAGTTCCTTTTCCACCACAGACCAGAAAGGGCTCCAAATATCCATTGCAGATGGTACAAAAAGTGAGATTCAAAACTGCTCAATCCAAAGGTAGTTTCAACCATGTGATATGAATGCACACAGCACAGAGAATTTTCCCAAAATGCGTCTGTCTAGTTTTTATTTGAAGATATTTCCTTTTCTACCATAGGCCACAAACGTCTCCAAATATCCACATGCAGCTTCTACAAAAAGAGAGATTCAAAACTTCTCAATCAAAAGATAGGTTCAACTCTGTGAGTTGAAAGCACACCTCACAAAGAAGTTTCTCAGAGTGCTTCTGTGTGTTTTTATGTGAAGATATTTCCTTTTCCACAATAGGCCTCAAAGCTCTCCAAATATCTGCGAGCAGAGTCTACAAAATGAGAGATTCAAAACTGCTCAATGAAAAGATAGGTTCAACTCTGTGAGTTGAATGCACACCTCCAAAGAAGTTTCTCAGAATGCTTCCGTGTAGTTTTTATGTGAAGATATTTACTTTTCCACAGTTGTCCCAAAGCTCTAAAATGTCCACTTGCAGACCCTCCAAAAGAGTGTTTCAGAATTGCTCAATCAAAGGGAAGGTTCAATTCTGTGTGACCAATGCACTCATCACAAAGAAGTTTGTCTGAATGCTTCTGTGTAGAATTGATTTGAAGATAATTCCTTTTCCACCACAGTCCGCAAAGGGCTAAAAATATCCACTTGCCGATTCCACAAAAAGAGAGATTCAAAACTGCTCAATCACAAGATAGGTTCAACTTGGTAATTGGAAAGCACACATGACAAACAATTTCTGAGAATGTTTCTGTGTAGTTTTTAAGGGAAGATATTTGATTTTCAAATGTAGGCCTCAAATCGCTCCAAATATCCACTTGCATATTGTACAAAAAGAGAGATTCAAAACTGGTCACTCAAAAGTTAGGTCCAGCTCTGTGAGCTGAATGCACACATCACAAAGATGTTTCTCAGAAGGTTTCTGTATAGTTTCTATATGAAGATATTGGCTTTTCCACAATATGCCTCAAATCTCCCCAATTATCCACTTGCAGATTCTAGAAAAAGAGTGTTTCAAAACAGCTCAATCAAAATAAACTTTCAACTCTGTGAGATCAATGCACACATCACAAAGAAGTTTCTCAGAATGCTTCAGTGTAGTTTTTTTTGTGAAGATATTTGATTTTCCACAGCAGGCTTCCAAGCACTCCAAATATCCACTCGCAGATTCTGCAAAAAGAGAGATTCAAATCTGCTGAATCAAAAGATAGGTTTAACTCTGTGACTTCAATGCACACCTCACAAGGGTGTTTCTCAGAAAGCTTCTGTGTAGTTTTTATATGAAGATATCTCCTTCTCCAAAGCAGGTCTCAAAGCCCTCCAAATATTCACTTCAAGATTCTACGGAAAGATTGTCTCAACACTGCTAAATCTAAACAAATGTTCAACTCTGTGTGATGAATGCACTCATCACAGAGAAGTTTCTCTGAATGCCTCTGTGTAGTTTTTATTTGAAGATATTTGCTTTTCCAGTATAGGGCGAAATAGGGCTCCAAATATTCACTTGCAGATTCTACAAAAGGAGAGATTCCAAACTGCTCAATCAAAACATAGGTTCAACACTGTGAGTTGAATGCACACATCACAAAGAAGTTTCACAGAGTGCTTCTGGGTAGTTTTTATTTGAGGATATTTCCCTTTCCACAATAGGCCTCAAAGCTTTCCAAATATCCACTTGCAGATTCTGCAAAAAGAGAGATACAAAACTGCTCTATCAAAAGATAGATTCGACTCTGTGAGTTGAATGCCAACATCGCAAAGAAGTTTCTCAGAATGCTTCTCTGCAGCTTTTTTGTGAGTATGTTTCGTTTTCCACCATAGGGCGAAATGGGGCTCCAAATATCCACTTGCATTTCCTACAAAAAGAGAGATTCTAAGCTGCTCAATCAAAACATTGTTTCAACACGGTTAGTTGAATGCACACATCCCAAAGATGTTTTTCAGAGTGCTTCTGTGTGGTTTTTATGTGAAGATACTTCCTTTTCCACAATAGGCCTCAAATCTCTGTAAATATCCACTTGCAGACTCTACAAAGAGTGTTTCCAAACTGCTCAATCATAAGATAGGTTCAACTCCGATAGTTGAATGCACACATCACAAAGAAGTTTCTCAGAAAGCTTCTGTGTAGTTTTTGATGAAGATATCTTCTTCTCTAAAACAGAACTCCAAGCCCTCCAAATATTCACTTCAAGATTCTACGGAAAGATTGTCTCAAAACTCCTAAATCAAAACAAAGTTTCAACTCTGTGTCATGAATGCATTCATCTCAAAGAAGTTTCTCTGAATGCTTCTGTGCAGTTTTTATTTGAAGATAATTGCTTTTCCAGTATAGGGCGAAATAGGGCTCCAAATATTCACTTGCAGATTCTACAGAAAGAGAGATTCCAAACTGCTCAATCAAAACATAGGTTCAACACTGTGAGTTGAATGCATACATCGCAAAGAAGTTTCACAGAGTACTTCTGGGTGGTTTTTATTTGAAGATATTTCCCTTTCCACAATAGGCCTCAAAGCTTTCCAAATGTCCACTTGCAGATTCCACCAAAAGAGTGTTTCGAAACTGCTCAATCAAAAGAAAGGTTCTACTCTGTGGGATGAATGCACACATTACAAAGTAGTTTCTCAGAATGCTTCTGTGTAGTTTTTATGTGAAGATATTTGTTTTTCCACAGTAGGCCCCAAAGAGCTCCAAATATTCACTTGCAGATTCTACAAAAAGAGTGTTCCAAAACTGCTCCATCATGAAATAGGATCAACCCTGTGAGATGAATGTACGTATGACAGAGAAGTTTCTCAGAATGCTTTCTGTGTAGTTTTTATGCGAAGATATTCGATTTTCCACAGTACACCTCTAAGTTCTCCAATTATCCACTCGTAGATTCTGCAAAAAGAGAGATTCAAAACTACTCAATCAAAAGATAGTTTCTACTCCATTAGCTGAAAGACCACATCACAAAAAAAGTTTCTCAGGATGCTTCTGTGTAGTTTTTATGTGAAGATATTTGGTTTTCCACAGTAGGCCTCAAAGCGCTCCAAATATCCACTCACAGATTCTGCAAAAAGAGAGATTCAAAACTGCTGAATCAAAAGACAGTTTCAACTCTGTGACTTCAGTGCACACCTCACAAGGATGTTTCTCAGAATGCTTCTGTGTAGTTTTCATATAAAGATATCTCCTTCTCCAAAATGGATCTCAAAGTTCTCCAAATATTCACTTCCAGATTCTATGGAAAGATTGTCTCAAAACTGCTCAATCAAACCAAAGGTTCAACTCTGTGAGATGAATGCCCACATCACAAAGAAGTTTCTCAGAGTACTTCTGTGTAGTTTCTATTTGAGGATAGTTCCTTTTCCACCACAGACCAGAAAGGGCTCCAAATATCCATTGCAGATGGTACAAAAAGTGAGATTCAAAACTGCTCAATCCAAAGGTAGTTTCAACCATGTGATATGAATGCACACAGCACAGAGAATTTTCTCAAAATGCGTTCTGTCTAGTTTTTATTTGAAGATATTTCCTTTTCTACCATAGGCCACAAACGTCTCCAAATATCCACATGCAGCTTCTACAAAAAGAGAGATTCAAAACTTCTCAATCAAAAGATAGGTTCAACTCTGTGAGTTGAAAGCACACCTCACAAAGAAGTTTCTCAGAGTGCTTCTGTGTGTTTTTATGTGAAGATATTTCCTTTTCCACAATAGGCCTCAAAGCTCTCCAAATATCTGCGAGCAGAGTCTACAAAATGAGAGATTCAAAACTGCTCAATGAAAAGATAGGTTCAACTCTGTGAGTTGAATGCACACCTCCAAAGAAGTTTCTCAGAATGCTTCCGTGTAGTTTTTATGTGAAGATATTTACTTTTCCACAGTTGTCCCAAAGCTCTAAAATGTCCACTTGCAGACCCTCCAAAAGAGTGTTTCAGAATTGCTCAATCAAAGGGAAGGTTCAATTCTGTGTGACCAATGCACTCATCACAAAGAAGTTTGTCTGAATGCTTCTGTGTAGAATTGATTTGAAGATAATTCCTTTTCCACCACAGTCCGCAAAGGGCTAAAAATATCCACTTGCCGATTCCACAAAAAGAGAGATTCAAAACTGCTCAATCACAAGATAGGTTCAACTTGGTAATTGGAAAGCACACATGACAAACAATTTCTGAGAATGTTTCTGTGTAGTTTTTAAGGGAAGATATTTGATTTTCAAATGTAGGCCTCAAATCGCTCCAAATATCCACTTGCATATTGTACAAAAAGAGAGATTCAAAACTGGTCACTCGAAAGTTAGGTCCAGCTGCTGTGAGCTGAATGCACACATCACAAAGATGTTTCTCAGAAGGTTTCTGTATAGTTTCTATATGAAGATATTTGCTTTTCCACAATATGCCTCAAATCTCCCCAATTATCCACTTGCAGATTCTAGAAAAAGAGTGTTTCAAAACAGCTCAATCCAAATAAACTTTCAACTCTGTGAGATCAATGCACACATCACAAAGAAGTTTCTCAGAATGCTTCTGTGTAGTTTTTTTTGTGAAGATATTTGATTTTCCACAGCAGGCTTCCAAGCACTCCAAATATCCACTCGCAGATTCTGCAAAAAGAGAGATTCAAATCTGCTGAATCAAAAGATAGGTTTAACTCTGTGACTTCAATGCACACCTCACAAGGGTGTTTCTCAGAAAGCTTCTGTGTAGTTTTTATATGAAGATATCTCCTTCTCCAAAGCAGGTCTCAAAGCCCTCCAAATATTCACTTCAAGATTCTACGGAAAGATTGTCTCAACACTGCTAAATCTAAACAAATGTTCAACTCTGTGTGATGAATGCACTCATCACAGAGAAGTTTCTCTGAATGCCTCTGTGTAGTTTTTATTTGAAGATATTTGCTTTTCCAGTATAGGGCGAAATAGGGCTCCAAATATTCACTTGCAGATTCTACAAAAGGAGAGATTCCAAACTGCTCAATCAAAACATAGGTTCAACACTGTGAGTTGAATGCACACATCACAAAGAAGTTTCACAGAGTGCTTCTGGGTAGTTTTTATTTGAGGATATTTCCCTTTCCACAATAGGCCTCAAAGCTTTCCAAATATCCACTTGCAGATTCTGCAAAAAGAGAGATACAAAACTGCTCTATCAAAAGATAGATTCGACTCTGTGAGTTGAATGCCAACATCGCAAAGAAGTTTCTCAGAATGCTTCTCTGCAGCTTTTTTGTGAGTATGTTTCGTTTTCCACCATAGGGCGAAATGGGGCTCCAAATATCCACTTGCATTTCCTACAAAAAGAGAGATTCTAAGCTGCTCAATCAAAACATTGTTTCAACACGGTTAGTTGAATGCACACATCCCAAAGATGTTTTTCAGAGTGCTTCTGTGTGGTTTTTATGTGAAGATACTTCCTTTTCCACAATAGGCCTCAAATCTCTGTAAATATCCACTTGCAGACTCTACAAAGAGTGTTTCCAAACTGCTCAATCATAAGATAGGTTCAACTCCGATAGTTGAATGCACACATCACAAAGAAGTTTCTCAGAAAGCTTCTGTGTAGTTTTTGATGAAGATATCTTCTTCTCTAAAACAGAACTCCAAGCCCTCCAAATATTCACTTCAAGATTCTACGGAAAGATTGTCTCAAACTGCTAAATCAAAACAAAGGTTCAACTCTGTGTGATGAATGCATTCATCACAAAGAAGTTTCTCTGAGTGCTTCTGTGCAGTTTTTATTTGAAGATAATTGCTTTTCCAGTATAGGGCGAAATAGGGCTCCAAATATTCACTTGCAGATTCTACAGAAAGAGAGATTCCAAACTGCTCAATCAAAACATAGGTTCAACACTGTGAGTTGAATGCATACATCGCAAAGAAGTTTCACAGAGTACTTCTGGGTGGTTTTTATTTGGAGATATTTCCCTTTCCACAATAGGCCTCAAAGCTTTCCAAATGTCCACTTGCAGATTCCACCAAAAGAGTGTTTCGAAACTGCTCAATCAAAAGAAAGGTTCTACTCTGTGGGATGAATGCACACATCACAAAGTAGTTTCTCAGAATGCTTCTGTGTAGTTTTTATGTGAAGATATTTGTTTTTCCACAGTAGGCCCCAAAGAGCTCCAAATATTCACTTGCAGATTCTACAAAAAGAGTGTTCCAAAACTGCTCAATCATGAAATAGGATCAACCCTGTGAGATGAATGTACGTATGACAGAGAAGTTTCTCAGAATGCTTCTGTGTAGTTTTTATGCGAAGATATTCGATTTTCCACAGTACGCCTCAAAGTTCTCCAATTATCCACTCGTAGATTCTGCAAAAAGAGAGATTCAAAACTGCTCAATCAAAAGATAGTTTCTACTCCATTAGCTGAAAGACCACATCACAAAAAAAGTTTCTCAGGATGCTTCTGTGTAGTTTTTATGTGAAGATATTTGGTTTTCCACAGTAGGCCTCAAAGCGCTCCAAATATCCACTCACAGATTCTGCAAAAAGAGAGATTCAAAACTGCTGAATCAAAAGACAGTTTCAACTCTGTGACTTCAGTGCACACCTCACAAGGATGTTTCTCAGAATGCTTCTGTGTAGTTTTCATATAAAGATATCTCCTTCTCCAAAATGCATCTCAAAGTTCTCCAAATATTCACTTCCAGATTCTATGGAAAGATTGTCTCAAAACTGCTCAATCAAACCAAAGGTTCAACTCTGTGAGATGAATGCCCACATCACAAAGAAGTTTCTCAGAGTACTTCTGTGTAGTTTCTATTTGAGGATAGTTCCTTTTCCACCACAGACCAGAAAGGGCTCCAAATATCCATTGCAGATGGTACAAAAAGTGAGATTCAAAACTGCTCAATCCAAAGGTAGTTTCAACCATGTGATATGAATGCACACAGCACAGAGAATTTTCTCAAAATGCGTCTGTCTAGTTTTTATTTGAAGATATTTCCTTTTCTACCATAGGCCACAAACGTCTCCAAATATCCACATGCAGCTTCTACAAAAAGAGAGATTCAAAAGTTCTCAATCAAAAGATAGGTTCAACTCTGTGAGTTGAAAGCACACCTCACAAAGAAGTTTCTCAGAGTGCTTCTGTGTGTTTTTATGTGAAGATATTTCCTTTTCCACAATAGGCCTCAAAGCTCTCCAAATATCTGCGAGCAGAGTCTACAAAATGAGAGATTCAAAACTGCTCAATGAAAAGATAGGTTCAACTCTGTGAGTTGAATGCACACCTCCAAAGAAGTTTCTCAGAATGCTTCCGTGTAGTTTTTATGTGAAGATATTTACTTTTCCACAGTTGTCCCAAAGCTCTAAAATGTCCACTTGCAGACCCTCCAAAAGAGTGTTTCAGAATTGCTCAATCAAAGGGAAGGTTCAATTCTGTGTGACCAATGCACTCATCACAAAGAAGTTTGTCTGAATGCTTCTGTGTAGAATTGATTTGAAGATAATTCCTTTTCCACCACAGTCCGCAAAGGGCTAAAAATATCCACTTGCCGATTCCACAAAAAGAGAGATTCAAAACTGCTCAATCACAAGATAGGTTCAACTTGGTAATTGGAAAGCACACATGACAAACAATTTCTGAGAATGTTTCTGTGTAGTTTTTAAGGGAAGATATTTGATTTTCAAATGTAGGCCTCAAATCGCTCCAAATATCCACTTGCATATTGTACAAAAAGAGAGATTCAAAACTGGTCACTCAAAAGTTAGGTCCAGCTCTGTGAGCTGAATGCACACATCACAAAGATGTTTCTCAGAAGGTTTCTGTATAGTTTTTATATGAAGATATTTGCTTTTCCACAATATGCCTCAAATCTCCCCAATTATCCACTTGCAGATTCTAGAAAAAGAGTGTTTCAAAACAGCTCAATCAAAATAAACTTTCAACTCTGTGAGATCAATGCACACATCACAAAGAAGTTTCTCAGAATGCTTCTGTGTAGTTTTTTTTGTGAAGATATTTGATTTTCCACAGCAGGCTTCCAAGCACTCCAAATATCCACTCGCAGATTCTGCAAAAAGAGAGATTCAAATCTGCTGAATCAAAAGATAGGTTTAACTCTGTGACTTCAATGCACACCTCACAAGGGTGTTTCTCAGAAAGCTTCTGTGTAGTTTTTATATGAAGATATCTCCTTCTCCAAAGCAGGTCTCAAAGCCCTCCAAATATTCACTTCAAGATTCTACGGAAAGATTGTCTCAACACTGCTAAATCTAAACAAATGTTCAACTCTGTGTGATGAATGCACTCATCACAGAGAAGTTTCTCTGAATGCCTCTGTGTAGTTTTTATTTGAAGATATTTGCTTTTCCAGTATAGGGCGAAATAGGGCTCCAAATATTCACTTGCAGATTCTACAAAAGGAGAGATTCCAAACTGCTCAATCAAAACATAGGTTCAACACTGTGAGTTGAATGCACACATCACAAAGAAGTTTCACAGAGTGCTTCTGGGTAGTTTTTATTTGAGGATATTTCCCTTTCCACAATAGGCCTCAAAGCTTTCCAAATATCCACTTGCAGATTCTGCAAAAAGAGAGATACAAAACTGCTCTATCAAAAGATAGATTCGACTCTGTGAGTTGAATGCCAACATCGCAAAGAAGTTTCTCAGAATGCTTCTCTGCAGCTTTTTTGTGAGTATGTTTCGTTTTCCACCATAGGGCGAAATGGGGCTCCAAATATCCACTTGCATTTCCTACAAAAAGAGAGATTCTAAGCTGCTCAATCAAAACATTGTTTCAACACGGTTAGTTGAATGCACACATCCCAAAGATGTTTTTCAGAGTGCTTCTGTGTGGTTTTTATGTGAAGATACTTCCTTTTCCACAATAGGCCTCAAATCTCTGTAAATATCCACTTGCAGACTCTACAAAGAGTGTTTCCAAACTGCTCAATCATAAGATAGGTTCAACTCCGATAGTTGAATGCACACATCACAAAGAAGTTTCTCAGAAAGCTTCTGTGTAGTTTTTGATGAAGATATCTCCTTCTCTAAAACAGAACTCCAAGCCCTCCAAATATTCACTTCAAGATTCTACGGAAAGATTGTCTCAAAACTCCTAAATCAAAACAAAGTTTCAACTCTGTGTCATGAATGCATTCATCTCAAAGAAGTTTCTCTGAATGCTTCTGTGCAGTTTTTATTTGAAGATAATTGCTTTTCCAGTATAGGGCGAAATAGGGCTCCAAATATTCACTTGCAGATTCTACAGAAAGAGAGATTCCAAACTGCTCAATCAAAACATAGGTTCAACACTGTGAGTTGAATGCATACATCGCAAAGAAGTTTCACAGAGTACTTCTGGGTGGTTTTTATTTGAAGATATTTCCCTTTCCACAATAGGCCTCAAAGCTTTCCAAATGTCCACTTGCAGATTCCACCAAAAGAGTGTTTCGAAACTGCTCAATCAAAAGAAAGGTTCTACTCTGTGGGATGAATGCACACATCACAAAGTAGTTTCTCAGAATGCTTCTGTGTAGTTTTTATGTGAAGATATTTGTTTTTCCACAGTAGGCCCCAAAGAGCTCCAAATATTCACTTGCAGATTCTACAAAAAGAGTGTTCCAAAACTGCTCAATCATGAAATAGGATCAACCCTGTGAGATGAATGTACGTATGACAGAGAAGTTTCTCAGAATGCTTCTGTGTAGTTTTTATGCGAAGATATTCGATTTTCCACAGTACGCCTCAAAGTTCTCCAATTATCCACTCGTAGATCCTGCAAAAAGAGAGATTCAAAACTGCTCAATCAAAAGATAGTTTCTACTCCATTAGCTGAAAGACCACATCACAAAAAAAGTTTCTCAGGATGCTTCTGTGTAGTTTTTATGTGAAGATATTTGGTTTTCCACAGTAGGCCTCAAAGCGCTCCAAATATCCACTCACAGATTCTGCAAAAAGAGAGATTCAAAACTGCTGAATCAAAAGACAGTTTCAACTCTGTGACTTCAGTGCACACCTCACAAGGATGTTTCTCAGAATGCTTCTGTGTAGTTTTTATATAAAGATATCTCCTTCTCCAAAATGGATCTCAAAGTTCTCCAAATATTCACTTCCAGATTCTATGGAAAGATTGTCTCAAAACTGCTCAATCAAACCAAAGGTTCAACTCTGTGAGATGAATGCCCACATCACAAAGAAGTTTCTCAGAGTACTTCTGTGTAGTTTCTATTTGAGGATAGTTCCTTTTCCACCACAGACCAGAAAGGGCTCCAAATATCCATTGCAGATGGTACAAAAAGTGAGATTCAAAACTGCTCAATCCAAAGGTAGTTTCAACCATGTGATATGAATGCACACAGCACAGAGAATTTTCTCAAAATGCGTCTGTCTAGTTTTTATTTGAAGATATTTCCTTTTCTACCATAGGCCACAAACGTCTCCAAATATCCACATGCAGCTTCTACAAAAAGAGAGATTCAAAACTTCTCAATCAAAAGATAGGTTCAACTCTGTGAGTTGAAAGCACACCTCACAAAGAAGTTTCTCAGAGTGCTTCTGTGTGTTTTTATGTGAAGATATTTCCTTTTCCACAATAGGCCTCAAAGCTCTCCAAATATCTGCGAGCAGAGTCTACAAAATGAGA
Source organism: Homo sapiens (assembly GCF_000001405.40). NCBI lineage: Eukaryota > Metazoa > Chordata > Mammalia > Primates > Hominidae > Homo > Homo sapiens. The sequence goes on along the minus strand of NC_000015.10, from coordinate 17,574,610 downwards.
GATTCAAAACTGCTCAATGAAAAGATAGGTTCAACTCTGTGAGTTGAATGCACACCTCCAAAGAAGTTTCTCAGAATGCTTCCGTGTAGTTTTTATGTGAAGATATTTACTTTTCCACAGTTGTCCCAAAGCTCTAAAATATCCACTTGCAGACCCTCCAAAAGAGTGTTTCAGAATTGCTCAATCAAAGGGAAGGTTCAATTCTGTGTGACCAATGCACTCATCACAAAGAAGTTTGTCTGAATGCTTCTGTGTAGAATTGATTTGAAGATAATTCCTTTTCCACCACAGTCCGCAAAGGGCTAAAAATATCCACTTGCCGATTCCACAAAAAGAGAGATTCAAAACTGCTCAATCACAAGATAGGTTCAACTTGGTAATTGGAAAGCACACATGACAAACAATTTCTGAGAATGTTTCTGTGTAGTTTTTAAGGGAAGATATTTGATTTTCAAATGTAGGCCTCAAATCGCTCCAAATATCCACTTGCATATTGTACAAAAAGAGAGATTCAAAACTGGTCACTCAAAAGTTAGGTCCAGCTCTGTGAGCTGAATGCACACATCACAAAGATGTTTCTCAGAAGGTTTCTGTATAGTTTCTATATGAAGATATTTGCTTTTCCACAATATGCCTCAAATCTCCCCAATTATCCACTTGCAGATTCTAGAAAAAGAGTGTTTCAAAACAGCTCAATCAAAATAAACTTTCAACTCTGTGAGATCAATGCACACATCACAAAGAAGTTTCTCAGAATGCTTCTGTGTAGTTTTTTTTGTGAAGATATTTGATTTTCCACAGCAGGCTTCCAAGCACTCCAAATATCCACTCGCAGATTCTGCAAAAAGAGAGATTCAAATCTGCTGAATCAAAAGATAGGTTTAACTCTGTGACTTCAATGCACACCTCACAAGGGTGTTTCTCAGAAAGCTTCTGTGTAGTTTTTATATGAAGATATCTCCTTCTCCAAAGCAGGTCTCAAAGCCCTCCAAATATTCACTTCAAGATTCTACGGAAAGATTGTCTCAACACTGCTAAATCTAAACAAATGTTCAACTCTGTGTGATGAATGCACTCATCACAGAGAAGTTTCTCTGAATGCCTCTGTGTAGTTTTTATTTGAAGATATTTGCTTTTCCAGTATAGGGCGAAATAGGGCTCCAAATATTCACTTGCAGATTCTACAAAAGGAGAGATTCCAAACTGCTCAATCAAAACATAGGTTCAACACTGTGAGTTGAATGCACACATCACAAAGAAGTTTCACAGAGTGCTTCTGGGTAGTTTTTATTTGAGGATATTTCCCTTTCCACAATAGGCCTCAAAGCTTTCCAAATATCCACTTGCAGATTCTGCAAAAAGAGAGATACAACACTGCTCTATCAAAAGATAGATTCGACTCTGTGAGTTGAATGCCAACATCGCAAAGAAGTTTCTCAGAATGCTTCTCTGCAGCTTTTTTGTGAGTATGTTTCGTTTTCCACCATAGGGCGAAATGGGGCTCCAAATATCCACTTGCATTTCCTACAAAAAGAGAGATTCTAAGCTGCTCAATCAAAACATTGTTTCAACACGGTTAGTTGAATGCACACATCCCAAAGATGTTTTTCAGAGTGCTTCTGTGTGGTTTTTATGTGAAGATACTTCCTTTTCCACAATAGGCCTCAAATCTCTGTAAATATCCACTTGCAGACTCTACAAAGAGTGTTTCCAAACTGCTCAATCATAAGATAGGTTCAACTCCGATAGTTGAATGCACACATCACAAAGAAGTTTCTCGGAAAGCTTCTGTGTAGTTTTTGATGAAGATATCTTCTTCTCTAAAACAGAACTCCAAGCCCTCCAAATATTCACTTCAAGATTCTACGGAAAGATTGTCTCAAACTGCTAAATCAAAACAAAGGTTCAACTCTGTGTGATGAATGCATTCATCACAAAGAAGTTTCTCTGAGTGCTTCTGTGCAGTTTTTATTTGAAGATAATTGCTTTTCCAGTATAGGGCGAAATAGGGCTCCAAATATTCACTTGCAGATTCTACAGAAAGAGAGATTCCAAACTGCTCAATCAAAACATAGGTTCAACACTGTGAGTTGAATGCATACATCGCAAAGAAGTTTCACAGAGTACTTCTGGGTGGTTTTTATTTGAAGATATTTCCCTTTCCACAATAGGCCTCAAAGCTTTCCAAATGTCCACTTGCAGATTCCACCAAAAGAGTGTTTCGAAACTGCTCAATCAAAAGTAAGTTTCTACTCTGTGGGATGAATGCACACATCACAAAGTAGTTTCTCAGAATGCTTCTGTGTAGTTTTTATGTGAAGATATTTGTTTTTCCACAGTAGGCCCCAAAGAGCTCCAAATATTCACTTGCAGATTCTACAAAAAGAGTGTTCCAAAACTGCTCAATCATGAAATAGGATCAACCCTGTGAGACGAATGTACGTATGACAGAGAAGTTTCTCAGAATGCTTCTGTGTAGTTTTTATGCGAAGATATTCGATTTTCCACAGTACGCCTCAAAGTTCTCCAATTATCCACTCGTAGATCCCGCAAAAAGAGAGATTCAAAACTGCTCAATCAAAAGATAGTTTCTACTCCATTAGCTGAAAGACCACATCACAAAAAAAGTTTCTCAGGATGCTTCTGTGTAGTTTTTATGTGAAGATATTTGGTTTTCCACAGTAGGCCTCAAAGCGCTCCAAATATCCACTCACAGATTCTGCAAAAAGAGAGATTCAAAACTGCTGAATCAAAAGACAGTTTCAACTCTGTGACTTCAGTGCACACCTCACAAGGATGTTTCTCAGAATGCTTCTGTGTAGTTTTTATATAAAGATATCTCCTTCTCCAAAATGGATCTCAAAGTTCTCCAAATATTCACTTCCAGATTCTATGGAAAGATTGTCTCAAAACTGCTCAATCAAACCAAAGGTTCAACTCTGTGAGATGAATGCCCACATCACAAAGAAGTTTCTCAGAGTACTTCTGTGTAGTTTCTATTTGAGGATAGTTCCTTTTCCACCACAGACCAGAAAGGGCTCCAAATATCCATTGCAGATGGTACAAAAAGTGAGATTCAAAACTGCTCAATCCAAAGGTAGTTTCAACCATGTGATATGAATGCACACAGCACAGAGAATTTTCTCAAAATGCGCTGTCTAGTTTTTATTTGAAGATATTTCCTTTTCTACCATAGGCCACAAACGTCTCCAAATATCCACATGCAGCTTCTACAAAAAGAGAGATTCAAAACTTCTCAATCAAAAGATAGGTTCAACTCTGTGAGTTGAAAGCACACCTCACAAAGAAGTTTCTCAGAGTGCTTTCTGTGTGTTTTTATGTGAAGATATTTCCTTTTCCACAATAGGCCTCAAAGCTCTCCAAATATCTGCGAGCAGAGTCTACAAAATGAGAGATTCAAAACTGCTCAATGAAAAGATAGGTTCAACTCTGTGAGTTGAATGCACACCTCCAAAGAAGTTTCTCAGAATGCTTCCGTGTAGTTTTTATGTGAAGATATTTACTTTTCCACAGTTGTCCCAAAGCTCTAAAATATCCACTTGCAGACCCTCCAAAAGAGTGTTTCAGAATTGCTCAATCAAAGGGAAGGTTCAATTCTGTGTGACCAATGCACTCATCACAAAGAAGTTTGTCTGAATGCTTCTGTGTAGAATTGATTTGAAGATAATTCCTTTTCCACCACAGTCCGCAAAGGGCTAAAAATATCCACTTGCCGATTCCACAAAAAGAGAGATTCAAAACTGCTCAATCACAAGATAGGTTCAACTTGGTAATTGGAAAGCACACATGACAAACAATTTCTGAGAATGTTTCTGTGTAGTTTTTAAGGGAAGATATTTGATTTTCAAATGTAGGCCTCAAATCGCTCCAAATATCCACTTGCATATTGTACAAAAAGAGAGATTCAAAACTGGTCACTCAAAAGTTAGGTCCAGCTCTGTGAGCTGAATGCACACATCACAAAGATGTTTCTCAGAAGGTTTCTGTATAGTTTTTATATGAAGATATTTGCTTTTCCACAATATGCCTCAAATCTCCCCAATTATCCACTTGCAGATTCTAGAAAAAGAGTGTTTCAAAACAGCTCAATCAAAATAAACTTTCAACTCTGTGAGATCAATGCACACATCACAAAGAAGTTTCTCAGAATGCTTCTGTGTAGTTTTTTTTGTGAAGATATTTGATTTTCCACAGCAGGCTTCCAAGCACTCCAAATATCCACTCGCAGATTCTGCAAAAAGAGAGATTCAAATCTGCTGAATCAAAAGATAGGTTTAACTCTGTGACTTCAATGCACACCTCACAAGGGTGTTTCTCAGAAAGCTTCTGTGTAGTTTTTATATGAAGATATCTCCTTCTCCAAAGCAGGTCTCAAAGCCCTCCAAATATTCACTTCAAGATTCTACGGAAAGATTGTCTCAACACTGCTAAATCTAAACAAATGTTCAACTCTGTGTGATGAATGCACTCATCACAGAGAAGTTTCTCTGAATGCCTCTGTGTAGTTTTTATTTGAAGATATTTGCTTTTCCAGTATAGGGCGAAATAGGGCTCCAAATATTCACTTGCAGATTCTACAAAAGGAGAGATTCCAAACTGCTCAATCAAAACATAGGTTCAACACTGTGAGTTGAATGCACACATCACAAAGAAGTTTCACAGAGTGCTTCTGGGTAGTTTTTATTTGAGGATATTTCCCTTTCCACAATAGGCCTCAAAGCTTTCCAAATATCCACTTGCAGATTCTGCAAAAAGAGAGATACAAAACTGCTCTATCAAAAGATAGATTCGACTCTGTGAGTTGAATGCCAACATCGCAAAGAAGTTTCTCAGAATGCTTCTCTGCAGCTTTTTTGTGAGTATGTTTCGTTTTCCACCATAGGGCGAAATGGGGCTCCAAATATCCACTTGCATTTCCTACAAAAAGAGAGATTCTAAGCTGCTCAATCAAAACATTGTTTCAACACGGTTAGTTGAATGCACACATCCCAAAGATGTTTTTCAGAGTGCTTCTGTGTGGTTTTTATGTGAAGATACTTCCTTTTCCACAATAGGCCTCAAATCTCTGTAAATATCCACTTGCAGACTCTACAAAGAGTGTTTCCAAACTGCTCAATCATAAGATAGGTTCAACTCCGATAGTTGAATGCACACATCACAAAGAAGTTTCTCAGAAAGCTTCTGTGTAGTTTTTGATGAAGATATCTCCTTCTCTAAAACAGAACTCCAAGCCCTCCAAATATTCACTTCAAGATTCTACGGAAAGATTGTCTCAAAACTCCTAAATCAAAACAAAGTTTCAACTCTGTGTCATGAATGCATTCATCTCAAAGAACTTTCTCTGAATGCTTCTGTGCAGTTTTTATTTGAAGATAATTGCTTTTCCAGTATAGGGCGAAATAGGGCTCCAAATATTCACTTGCAGATTCTACAGAAAGAGAGATTCCAAACTGCTCAATCAAAACATAGGTTCAACACTGTGAGTTGAATGCATACATCGCAAAGAAGTTTCACAGAGTACTTCTGGGTGGTTTTTATTTGAAGATATTTCCCTTTCCACAATAGGCCTCAAAGCTTTCCAAATGTCCACTTGCAGATTCCACCAAAAGAGTGTTTCGAAACTGCTCAATCAAAAGAAAGGTTCTACTCTGTGGGATGAATGCACACATCACAAAGTAGTTTCTCAGAATGCTTCTGTGTAGTTTTTATGTGAAGATATTTGTTTTTCCACAGTAGGCCCCAAAGAGCTCCAAATATTCACTTGCAGATTCTACAAAAAGAGTGTTCCAAAACTGCTCAATCATGAAATAGGATCAACCCTGTGAGATGAATGTACGTATGACAGAGAAGTTTCTCAGAATGCTTCTGTGTAGTTTTTATGCGAAGATATTCGATTTTCCACAGTACGCCTCAAAGTTCTCCAGTTATCCACTCGTAGATTCTGCAAAAAGAGAGATTCAAAACTGCTCAATCAAAAGATAGTTTCTACTCCATTAGCTGAAAGACCACATCACAAAAAAAGTTTCTCAGGATGCTTCTGTGTAGTTTTTATGTGAAGATATTTGGTTTTCCACAGTAGGCCTCAAAGCGCTCCAAATATCCACTCACAGATTCTGCAAAAAGAGAGATTCAAAACTGCTGAATCAAAAGACAGTTTCAACTCTGTGACTTCAGTGCACACCTCACAAGGATGTTTCTCAGAATGCTTCTGTGTAGTTTTTATATAAAGATATCTCCTTCTCCAAAATGGATCTCAAAGTTCTCCAAATATTCACTTCCAGATTCTATGGAAAGATTGTCTCAAAACTGCTCAATCAAACCAAAGGTTCAACTCTGTGAGATGAATGCCCACATCACAAAGAAGTTTCTCAGAGTACTTCTGTGTAGTTTCTATTTGAGGATAGTTCCTTTTCCACCACAGACCAGAAAGGGCTCCAAATATCCATTGCAGATGGTACAAAAAGTGAGATTCAAAACTGCTCAATCCAAAGGTAGTTTCAACCATGTGATATGAATGCACACAGCACAGAGAATTTTCTCAAAATGCGTCTGTCTAGTTTTTATTTGAAGATATTTCCTTTTCTACCATAGGCCACAAACGTCTCCAAATATCCACATGCAGCTTCTACAAAAAGAGAGATTCCAAACTTCTCAATCAAAAGATAGGTTCAACTCTGTGAGTTGAAAGCACACCTCACAAAGAAGTTTCTCAGAGTGCTTCTGTGTGTTTTTATGTGAAGATATTTCCTTTTCCACAATAGGCCTCAAAGCTCTCCAAATATCTGCGAGCAGAGTCTACAAAATGAGAGATTCAAAACTGCTCAATGAAAAGATAGGTTCAACTCTGTGAGTTGAATGCACACCTCCAAAGAAGTTTCTCAGAATGCTTCCGTGTAGTTTTTATGTGAAGATATTTACTTTTCCACAGTTGTCCCAAAGCTCTAAAATGTCCACTTGCAGACCCTCCAAAAGAGTGTTTCAGAATTGCTCAATCAAAGGGAAGGTTCAATTCTGTGTGACCAATGCACTCATCACAAAGAAGTTTGTCTGAATGCTTCTGTGTAGAATTGATTTGAAGATAATTCCTTTTCCACCACAGTCTGCAAAGGGCTAAAAATATCCACTTGCCGATTCCACAAAAAGAGAGATTCAAAACTGCTCAATCACAAGATAGGTTCAACTTGGTAATTGGAAAGCACACATGACAAACAATTTCTGAGAATGTTTCTGTGTAGTTTTTAAGGGAAGATATTTGATTTTCAAATGTAGGCCTCAAATCGCTCCAAATATCCACTTGCATATTGTACAAAAAGAGAGATTCAAAACTGGTCACTCAAAAGTTAGGTCCAGCTCTGTGAGCTGAATGCACACATCACAAAGATGTTTCTCAGAAGGTTTCTGTATAGTTTCTATATGAAGATATTTGCTTTTCCACAATATGCCTCAAATCTCCCCAATTATCCACTTGCAGATTCTAGAAAAAGAGTGTTTCAAAACAGCTCAATCAAAATAAACTTTCAACTCTGTGAGATCAATGCACACATCACAAAGGAGTTTCTCAGAATGCTTCTGTGTAGTTTTTTTTGTGAAGATATTTGATTTTCCACAGCAGGCTTCCAAGCACTCCAAATATCCACTCGCAGATTCTGCAAAAAGAGAGATTCAAATCTGCTGAATCAAAAGATAGGTTTAACTCTGTGACTTCAATGCACACCTCACAAGGGTGTTTCTCAGAAAGCTTCTGTGTAGTTTTTATATGAAGATATCTCCTTCTCCAAAGCAGGTCTCAAAGCCCTCCAAATATTCACTTCAAGATTCTACGGAAAGATTGTCTCAACACTGCTAAATCTAAACAAATGTTCAACTCTGTGTGATGAATGCACTCATCACAGAGAAGTTTCTCTGAATGCCTCTGTGTAGTTTTTATTTGAAGATATTTGCTTTTCCAGTATAGGGCGAAATAGGGCTCCAAATATTCACTTGCAGATTCTACAAAAGGAGAGATTCCAAACTGCTCAATCAAAACATAGGTTCAACACTGTGAGTTGAATGCACACATCACAAAGAAGTTTCACAGAGTGCTTCTGGGTAGTTTTTATTTGAGGATATTTCCCTTTCCACAATAGGCCTCAAAGCTTTCCAAATATCCACTTGCAGATTCTGCAAAAAGAGAGATACAAAACTGCTCTATCAAAAGATAGATTCGACTCTGTGAGTTGAATGCCAACATCGCAAAGAAGTTTCTCAGAATGCTTCTCTGCAGCTTTTTTGTGAGTATGTTTCGTTTTCCACCATAGGGCGAAATGGGGCTCCAAATATCCACTTGCATTTCCTACAAAAAGAGAGATTCTAAGCTGCTCAATCAAAACATTGTTTCAACACGGTTAGTTGAATGCACACATCCCAAAGATGTTTTTCAGAGTGCTTCTGTGTGGTTTTTATGTGAAGATACTTCCTTTTCCACAATAGGCCTCAAATCTCTGTAAATATCCACTTGCAGACTCTACAAAGAGTGTTTCCAAACTGCTCAATCATAAGATAGGTTCAACTCCGATAGTTGAATGCACACATCACAAAGAAGTTTCTCGGAAAGCTTCTGTGTAGTTTTTGATGAAGATATCTCCTTCTCTAAAACAGAACTCCAAGCCCTCCAAATATTCACTTCAAGATTCTACGGAAAGATTGTCTCAAACTGCTAAATCAAAACAAAGGTTCAACTCTGTGTGATGAATGCATTCATCACAAAGAAGTTTCTCTGAGTGCTTCTGTGCAGTTTTTATTTGAAGATAATTGCTTTTCCAGTATAGGGCGAAATAGGGCTCCAAATATTCACTTGCAGATTCTACAGAAAGAGAGATTCCAAACTGCTCAATCAAAACATAGGTTCAACACTGTGAGTTGAATGCATACATCGCAAAGAAGTTTCACAGAGTACTTCTGGGTGGTTTTTATTTGAAGATATTTCCCTTTCCACAATAGGCCTCAAAGCTTTCCAAATGTCCACTTGCAGATTCCACCAAAAGAGTGTTTCGAAACTGCTCAATCAAAAGAAAGGTTCTACTCTGTGGGATGAATGCACACATCACAAAGTAGTTTCTCAGAATGCTTCTGTGTAGTTTTTATGTGAAGATATTTGTTTTTCCACAGTAGGCCCCAAAGAGCTCCAAATATTCACTTGCAGATTCTACAAAAAGAGTGTTCCAAAACTGCTCAATCATGAAATAGGATCAACCCTGTGAGATGAATGTACGTATGACAGAGAAGTTTCTCAGAATGCTTCTGTGTAGTTTTTATGCGAAGATATTCGATTTTCCACAGTACGCCTCAAAGTTCTCCAATTATCCACTCGTAGATTATGCAAAAAGAGAGATTCAAAACTGCTCAATCAAAAGATAGTTTCTACTCCATTAGCTGAAAGACCACATCACAAAAAAAGTTTCTCAGGATGCTTCTGTGTAGTTTTTATGTGAAGATATTTGGTTTTCCACAGTAGGCCTCAAAGCGCTCCAAATATCCACTCACAGATTCTGCAAAAAGAGAGATTCAAAACTGCTGAATCAAAAGACAGTTTCAACTCTGTGACTTCAGTGCACACCTCACAAGGATGTTTCTCAGAATGCTTCTGTGGAGTTTTTATATAAAGATATCTCCTTCTCCAAAATGGATCTCAAAGTTCTCCAAATATTCACTTCCAGATTCTATGGAAAGATTGTCTCAAAACTGCTCAATCAAACCAAAGGTTCAACTCTGTGAGATGAATGCCCACATCACAAAGAAGTTTCTCAGAGTACTTCTGTGTAGTTTCTATTTGAGGATAGTTCCTTTTCCACCACAGACCAGAAAGGGCTCCAAATATCCATTGCAGATGGTACAAAAAGTGAGATTCAAAACTGCTCAATCCAAAGGTAGTTTCAACCATGTGATATGAATGCACACAGCACAGAGAATTTTCTCAAAATGCGTCTGTCTAGTTTTTATTTGAAGATATTTCCTTTTCTACCATAGGCCACAAACGTCTCCAAATATCCACATGCAGCTTCTACAAAAAGAGAGATTCAAAACTTCTCAATCAAAAGATAGGTTCAACTCTGTGAGTTGAAAGCACACCTCACAGAGAAGTTTCTCAGAGTGCTTCTGTGTGTTTTTATGTGAAGATATTTCCTTTTCCACAATAGGCCTCAAAGCTCTCCAAATATCTGCGAGCAGAGTCTACAAAATGAGAGATTCAAAACTGCTCAATGAAAAGATAGGTTCAACTCTGTGAGTTGAATGCACACCTCCAAAGAAGTTTCTCAGAATGCTTCCGTGTAGTTTTTATGTGAAGATATTTACTTTTCCACAGTTGTCCCAAAGCTCTAAAATGTCCACTTGCAGACCCTCCAAAAGAGTGTTTCAGAATTGCTCAATCAAAGGGAAGGTTCAATTCTGTGTGACCAATGCACTCATCACAAAGAAGTTTGTCTGAATGCTTCTGTGTAGAATTGATTTGAAGATAATTCCTTTTCCACCACAGTCCGCAAAGGGCTAAAAATATCCACTTGCCGATTCCACAAAAAGAGAGATTCAAAACTGCTCAATCACAAGATAGGTTCAACTTGGTAATTGGAAAGCACACATGACAAACAATTTCTGAGAATATTTCTGTGTAGTTTTTAAGGGAAGATATTTGATTTTCAAATGTAGGCCTCAAATCGCTCCAAATATCCACTTGCATATTGTACAAAAAGAGAGATTCAAAACTGGTCACTCAAAAGTTAGGTCCAGCTCTGTGAGCTGAATGCACACATCACAAAGATGTTTCCCAGAAGGTTTCTGTATAGTTTCTATATGAAGATATTTGCTTTTCCACAATATGCCTCAAATCTCCCCAATTATCCACTTGCAGATTCTAGAAAAAGAGTGTTTCAAAACAGCTCAATCAAAATAAACTTTCAACTCTGTGAGATCAATGCACACATCACAAAGAAGTTTCTCAGAATGCTTCTGTGTAGTTTTTTTTGTGAAGATATTTGATTTTCCACAGCAGGCTTCCAAGCACTCCAAATATCCACTCGCAGATTCTGCAAAAAGAGAGATTCAAATCTGCTGAATCAAAAGATAGGTTTAACTCTGTGACTTCAATGCACACCTCACAAGGGTGTTTGCTCAGAAAGCTTCTGTGTAGTTTTTATATGAAGATATCTCTTCTCCAAAGCAGGTCTCAAAGCCCTCCAAATATTCACTTCAAGATTCTACGGAAAGATTGTCTCAACACTGCTAAATCTAAACAAATGTTCAACTCTGTGTGATGAATGCACTCATCACAGAGAAGTTTCTCTGAATGCCTCTGTGTAGTTTTTATTTGAAGATATTTGCTTTTCCAGTATAGGGCGAAATAGGGCTCCAAATATTCACTTGCAGATTCTACAAAAGGAGAGATTCCAAACTGCTCAATCAAAACATAGGTTCAACACTGTGAGTTGAATGCACACATCACAAAGAAGTTTCACAGAGTGCTTCTGGGTAGTTTTTATTTGAGGATATTTCCCTTTCCACAATAGGCCTCAAAGCTTTCCAAATATCCACTTGCAGATTCTGCAAAAAGAGAGATACAAAACTGCTCTATCAAAAGATAGATTCGACTCTGTGAGTTGAATGCCAACATCGCAAAGAAGTTTCTCAGAATGCTTCTCTGCAGCTTTTTTGTGAGTATGTTTCGTTTTCCACCATAGGGCGAAATGGGGCTCCAAATATCCACTTGCATTTCCTACAAAAAGAGAGATTCTAAGCTGCTCAATCAAAACATTGTTTCAACACGGTTAGTTGAATGCACACATCCCAAAGATGTTTCTCAGAGTGCTTCTGTGTGGTTTTTATGTGAAGATACTTCCTTTTCCACAATAGGCCTCAAATCTCTGTAAATATCCACTTGCAGACTCTACAAAGAGTGTTTCCAAACTGCTCAATCATAAGATAGGTTCAACTCTGATAGTTGAATGCACACATCACAAAGAAGTTTCTCAGAAAGCTTCTGTGTAGTTTTTGATGAAGATATCTCCTTCTCTAAAACAGAACTCCAAGCCCTCCAAATATTCACTTCAAGATTCTACGGAAAGATTGTCTCAAAACTCCTAAATCAAAACAAAGTTTCAACTCTGTGTCATGAATGCATTCATCTCAAAGAAGTTTCTCTGAATGCTTCTGTGCAGTTTTTATTTGAAGATAATTGCTTTTCCAGTATAGGGCGAAATAGGGCTCCAAATATTCACTTGCAGATTCTACAGAAAGAGAGATTCCAAACTGCTCAATCAAAACATAGGTTCAACACTGTGAGTTGAATGCATACATCGCAAAGAAGTTTCACAGAGTACTTCTGGGTGGTTTTTATTTGAAGATATTTCCCTTTCCACAATAGGCCTCAAAGCTTTCCAAATGTCCACTTGCAGATTCCACCAAAAGCGTGTTTCGAAACTGCTCAATCAAAAGAAAGGTTCTACTCTGTGGGATGAATGCACACATCACAAAGTAGTTTCTCAGAATGCTTCTGTGTAGTTTTTATGTGAAGATATTTGTTTTTCCACAGTAGGCCCCAAAGAGCTCCAAATATTCACTTGCAGATTCTACAAAAAGAGTGTTCCAAAACTGCTCAATCATGAAATAGGATCAACCCTGTGAGATGAATGTACGTATGACAGAGAAGTTTCTCAGAATGCTTCTGTGTAGTTTTTATGCGAAGATATTCGATTTTCCACAGTACGCCTCAAAGTTCTCCAATTATCCACTCGTAGATTCTGCAAAAAGAGAGATTCAAAACTGCTCAATCAAAAGATAGTTTCTACTCCATTAGCTGAAAGACCACATCACAAAAAAAGTTTCTCAGGATGCTTCTGTGTAGTTTTTATGTGAAGATATTTGGTTTTCCACAGTAGGCCTCAAAGCGCTCCAAATATCCACTCACAGATTCTGCAAAAAGAGAGATTCAAAACTGCTGAATCAAAAGACAGTTTCAACTACTGTGACTTCAGTGCACACCTCACAAGGATGTTTCTCAGAATGCTTCTGTGTAGTTTTCATATAAAGATATCTCCTTCTCCAAAATGGATCTCAAAGTTCTCCAAATATTCACTTCCAGATTCTATGGAAAGATTGTCTCAAAACTGCTCAATCAAACCAAAGGTTCAACTCTGTGAGATGAATGCCCACATCACAAAGAAGTTTCTCAGAGTACTTCTGTGTAGTTTCTATTTGAGGATAGTTCCTTTTCCACCACAGACCAGAAAGGGCTCCAAATATCCATTGCAGATGGTACAAAAAGTGAGATTCAAAACTGCTCAATCCAAAGGTAGTTTCAACCATGTGATATGAATGCACACAGCACAGAGAATTTTCTCAAAATGCGTCTGTCTAGTTTTTATTTGAAGATATTTTCTTTTCTACCATAGGCCACAAACGTCTCCAAATATCCACATGCAGCTTCTACAAAAAGAGAGATTCAAAACTTCTCAATCAAAAGATAGGTTCAACTCTGTGAGTTGAAAGCACACCTCACAAAGAAGTTTCTCAGAGTGCTTCTGTGTGTTTTTATGTGAAGATATTTCCTTTTCCACAATAGGCCTCAAAGCTCTCCAAATATCTGCGAGCAGAGTCTACAAAATGAGAGATTCAAAACTGCTCAATGAAAAGATAGGTTCAACTCTGTGAGTTGAATGCACACCTCCAAAGAAGTTTCTCAGAATGCTTCCGTGTAGTTTTTATGTGAAGATATTTACTTTTCCACAGTTGTCCCAAAGCTCTAAAATGTCCACTTGCAGACCCTCCAAAAGAGTGTTTCAGAATTGCTCAATCAAAGGGAAGGTTCAATTCTGTGTGACCAATGCACTCATCACAAAGAAGTTTGTCTGAATGCTTCTGTGTAGAATTGATTTGAAGATAATTCCTTTTCCACCACAGTCCGCAAAGGGCTAAAAATATCCACTTGCCGATTCCACAAAAAGAGAGATTCAAAACTGCTCAATCACAAGATAGGTTCAACTTGGTAATTGGAAAGCACACATGACAAACAATTTCTGAGAATGTTTCTGTGTAGTTTTTAAGGGAAGATATTTGATTTTCAAATGTAGGCCTCAAATCGCTCCAAATATCCACTTGCATATTGTACAAAAAGAGAGATTCAAAACTGGTCACTCAAAAGTTAGGTCCAGCTCTGTGAGCTGAATGCACACATCACAAAGATGTTTCTCAGAAGGTTTCTGTATAGTTTCTATATGAAGATATTTGCTTTTCCACAATATGCCTCAAATCTCCCCAATTATCCACTTGCAGATTCTAGAAAAAGAGTGTTTCAAAACAGCTCAATCAAAATAAACTTTCAACTCTGTGAGATCAATGCACACATCACAAAGAAGTTTCTCAGAATGCTTCTGTGTAGTTTTTTTTGTGAAGATATTTGATTTTCCACAGCAGGCTTCCAAGCACTCCAAATATCCACTCGCAGATTCTGCAAAAAGAGAGATTCAAATCTGCTGAATCAAAAGATAGGTTTAACTCTGTGACTTCAATGCACACCTCACAAGGGTGTTTCTCAGAAAGCTTCTGTGTAGTTTTTATATGAAGATATCTCCTTCTCCAAAGCAGGTCTCAAAGCCCTCCAAATATTCACTTCAAGATTCTACGGAAAGATTGTCTCAACACTGCTAAATCTAAACAAATGTTCAACTCTGTGTGATGAATGCACTCATCACAGAGAAGTTTCTCTGAATGCCTCTGTGTAGTTTTTATTTGAAGATATTTGCTTTTCCAGTATAGGGCGAAATAGGGCTCCAAATATTCACTTGCAGATTCTACAAAAGGAGAGATTCCAAACTGCTCAATCAAAACATAGGTTCAACACTGTGAGTTGAATGCACACATCACAAAGAAGTTTCACAGAGTGCTTCTGGGTAGTTTTTATTTGAGGATATTTCCCTTTCCACAATAGGCCTCAAAGCTTTCCAAATATCCACTTGCAGATTCTGCAAAAAGAGAGATACAAAACTGCTCTATCAAAAGATAGATTCGACTCTGTGAGTTGAATGCCAACATCGCAAAGAAGTTTCTCAGAATGCTTCTCTGCAGCTTTTTTGTGAGTATGTTTCGTTTTCCACCATAGGGCGAAATGGGGCTCCAAATATCCACTTGCATTTCCTACAAAAAGAGAGATTCTAAGCTGCTCAATCAAAACATTGTTTCAACACGGTTAGTTGAATGCACACATCCCAAAGATGTTTTTCAGAGTGCTTCTGTGTGGTTTTTATGTGAAGATACTTCCTTTTCCACAATAGGCCTCAAATCTCTGTAAATATCCACTTGCAGACTCTACAAAGAGTGTTTCCAAACTGCTCAATCATAAGATAGGTTCAACTCCGATAGTTGAATGCACACATCACAAAGAAGTTTCTCAGAAAGCTTCTGTGTAGTTTTTGATGAAGATATCTTCTTCTCTAAAACAGAACTCCAAGCCCTCCAAATATTCACTTCAAGATTCTACGGAAAGATTGTCTCAAAACTCCTAAATCAAAACAAAGTTTCAACTCTGTGTCATGAATGCATTCATCTCAAAGAAGTTTCTCTGAATGCTTCTGTGCAGTTTTTATTTGAAGATAATTGCTTTTCCAGTATAGGGCGAAATAGGGCTCCAAATATTCACTTGCAGATTCTACAGAAAGAGAGATTCCAAACTGCTCAATCAAAACATAGGTTCAACACTGTGAGTTGAATGCATACATCGCAAAGAAGTTTCACAGAGTACTTCTGGGTGGTTTTTATTTGAAGATATTTCCCTTTCCACAATAGGCCTCAAAGCTTTCCAAATGTCCACTTGCAGATTCCACCAAAAGAGTGTTTCGAAACTGCTCAATCAAAAGAAAGGTTCTACTCTGTGGGGTGAATGCACACATCACAAAGTAGTTTCTCAGAATGCTTCTGTGTAGTTTTTATGTGAAGATATTTGTTTTTCCACAGTAGGCCCCAAGGAGCTCCAAATATTCACTTGCAGATTCTACAAAAAGAGTGTTCCAAAACTGCTCAATCATGAAATAGGATCAACCCTGTGAGATGAATGTACGTATGACAGAGAAGTTTCTCAGAATGCTTCTGTGTAGTTTTTATGCGAAGATATTCGATTTTCCACAGTACGCCTCAAAGTTCTCCAATTATCCACTCGTAGATTCTGCAAAAAGAGAGATTCAAAACTGCTCAATCAAAAGATAGTTTCTACTCCATTAGCTGAAAGACCACATCACAAAAAAAGTTTCTCAGGATGCTTCTGTGTAGTTTTTATGTGAAGATATTTGGTTTTCCACAGTAGGCCTCAAAGCGCTCCAAATATCCACTCACAGATTCTGCAAAAAGAGAGATTCAAAACTGCTGAATCAAAAGACAGTTTCAACTCTGTGACTTCAGTGCACACCTCACAAGGATGTTTCTCAGAATGCTTCTGTGTAGTTTTTATATAAAGATATCTCCTTCCCCAAAATGGATCTCAAAGTTCTCCAAATATTCACTTCCAGATTCTATGGAAAGATTGTCTCAAAACTGCTCAATCAAACCAAAGGTTCAACTCCTGTGAGATGAATGCCCACATCACAAAGAAGTTTCTCAGAGTACTTTTCTGTGTAGTTTCTATTTGAGGATAGTTCCTTTTCCACCACAGACCAGAAAGGGCTCCAAATATCCATTGCAGATGGTACAAAAAGTGAGATTCAAAACTGCTCAATCCAAAGGTAGTTTCAACCATGTGATATGAATGCACACAGCACAGAGAATTTTCTCAAAATGCGTCTGTCTAGTTTTTATTTGAAGATATTTCCTTTTCTACCATAGGCCACAAACGTCTCCAAATATCCACATGCAGCTTCTACAAAAAGAGAGATTCAAAACTTCTCAATCAAAAGATAGGTTCAACTCTGTGAGTTGAAAGCACACCTCACAAAGAAGTTTCTCAGAGTGCTTCTGTGTGTTTTTATGTGAAGATATTTCCTTTTCCACAATAGGCCTCAAAGCTCTCCAAATATCTGCGAGCAGAGTCTACAAAATGAGAGATTCAAAACTGCTCAATGAAAAGATAGGTTCAACTCTGTGAGTTGAATGCACACCTCCAAAGAAGTTTCTCAGAATGCTTCCGTGTAGTTTTTATGTGAAGATATTTACTTTTCCACAGCTGTCCCAAAGCTCTAAAATATCCACTTGCAGACCCTCCAAAAGAGTGTTTCAGAATTGCTCAATCAAAGGGAAGGTTCAATTCTGTGTGACCAATGCACTCATCACAAAGAAGTTTGTCTGAATGCTTCTGTGTAGAATTGATTTGAAGATAATTCCTTTTCCACCACAGTCCGCAAAGGGCTAAAAATATCCACTTGCCGATTCCACAAAAAGAGAGATTCAAAACTGCTCAATCACAAGATAGGTTCAACTTGGTAATTGGAAAGCACACATGACAAACAATTTCTGAGAATGTTTCTGTGTAGTTTTTAAGGGAAGATATTTGATTTTCAAATGTAGGCCTCAAATCGCTCCAAATATCCACTTGCATATTGTACAAAAAGAGAGATTCAAAACTGGTCACTCAAAAGTTAGGTCCAGCTCTGTGAGCTGAATGCACACATCACAAAGATGTTTCTCAGAAGGTTTCTGTATAGTTTCTATATGAAGATATTTGCTTTTCCACAATATGCCTCAAATCTCCCCAATTATCCACTTGCAGATTCTAGAAAAAGAGTGTTTCAAAACAGCTCAATCAAAATAAACTTTCAACTCTGTGAGATCAATGCACACATCACAAAGAAGTTTACTCAGAATGCTTTCTGTGTAGTTTTTTTTGTGAAGAATTTGATTTTCCACAGCAGGCTTCCAAGCACTCCAAATATCCACTCGCAGATTCTGCAAAAAGAGAGATTCAAATCTGCTGAATCAAAAGATAGGTTTAACTCTGTGACTTCAATGCACACCTCACAAGGGTGTTTCTCAGAAAGCTTCTGTGTAGTTTTTATATGAAGATATCTCCTTCTCCAAAGCAGGTCTCAAAGCCCTCCAAATATTCACTTCAAGATTCTACGGAAAGATTGTCTCAACACTGCTAAATCTAAACAAATGTTCAACTCTGTGTGATGAATGCACTCATCACAGAGAAGTTTCTCTGAATGCCTCTGTGTAGTTTTTATTTGAAGATATTTGCTTTTCCAGTATAGGGCGAAATAGGGCTCCAAATATTCACTTGCAGATTCTACAAA
The DNA here is from genome assembly GCF_000001405.40 of Homo sapiens. Lineage (NCBI taxonomy): Eukaryota > Metazoa > Chordata > Mammalia > Primates > Hominidae > Homo > Homo sapiens. Next base: position 17,556,344 of record NC_000015.10, on the reverse strand, counting down.
AGGAGAGATTCCAAACTGCTCAATCAAAACATAGGTTCAACACTGTGAGTTGAATGCACACATCACAAAGAAGTTTCACAGAGTGCTTCTGGGTAGTTTTTATTTGAGGATATTTCCCTTTCCACAATAGGCCTCAAAGCTTTCCAAATATCCACTTGCAGATTCTGCAAAAAGAGAGATACAAAACTGCTCTATCAAAAGATAGATTCGACTCTGTGAGTTGAATGCCAACATCGCAAAGAAGTTTCTCAGAATGCTTCTCTGCAGCTTTTTTGTGAGTATGTTTCGTTTTCCACCATAGGGCGAAATGGGGCTCCAAATATCCACTTGCATTTCCTACAAAAAGAGAGATTCTAAGCTGCTCAATCAAAACATTGTTTCAACACGGTTAGTTGAATGCACACATCCCAAAGATGTTTTTCAGAGTGCTTCTGTGTGGTTTTTATGTGAAGATACTTCCTTTTCCACAATAGGCCTCAAATCTCTGTAAATATCCACTTGCAGACTCTACAAAGAGTGTTTCCAAACTCCTCAATCATAAGATAGGTTCAACTCCGATAGTTGAATGCACACATCACAAAGAAGTTTCTCAGAAAGCTTCTGTGTAGTTTTTGATGAAGATATCTTCTTCTCTAAAACAGAACTCCAAGCCCTCCAAATATTCACTTCAAGATTCTACGGAAAGATTGTCTCAAAACTCCTAAATCAAAACAAAGTTTCAACTCTGTGTCATGAATGCATTCATCTCAAAGAAGTTTCTCTGAATGCTTCTGTGCAGTTTTTATTTGAAGATAATTGCTTTTCCAGTATAGGGCGAAATAGGGCTCCAAATATTCACTTGCAGATTCTACAGAAAGAGAGATTCCAAACTGCTCAATCAAAACATAGGTTCAACACTGTGAGTTGAATGCATACATCGCAAAGAAGTTTCACAGAGTACTTCTGGGTGGTTTTTATTTGAAGATATTTCCCTTTCCACAATAGGCCTCAAAGCTTTCCAAATGTCCACTTGCAGATTCCACCAAAAGAGTGTTTCGAAACTGCTCAATCAAAAGAAAGGTTCTACTCTGTGGGATGAATGCACACATCACAAAGTAGTTTCTCAGAATGCTTCTGTGTAGTTTTTATGTGAAGATATTTGTTTTTCCACAGTAGGCCCCAAAGAGCTCCAAATATTCACTTGCAGATTCTACAAAAAGAGTGTTCCAAAACTGCTCAATCATGAAATAGGATCAACCCTGTGAGATGAATGTACGTATGACAGAGAAGTTTCTCAGAATGCTTCTGTGTAGTTTTTATGCGAAGATATTCGATTTTCCACAGTACGCCTCAAAGTTCTCCAATTATCCACTCGTAGATTCTGCAAAAAGAGAGACTCAAAACTGCTCAATCAAAAGATAGTTTCTACTCCATTAGCTGAAAGACCACATCACAAAAAAAGTTTCTCAGGATGCTTCTGTGTAGTTTTTATGTGAAGATATTTGGTTTTCCACAGTAGGCCTCAAAGCGCTCCAAATATCCACTCACAGATTCTGCAAAAAGAGAGATTCAAAACTGCTGAATCAAAAGACAGTTTCAACTCTGTGACTTCAGTGCACACCTCACAAGGATGTTTCTCAGAATGCTTCTGTGTAGTTTTTATATAAAGATATCTCCTTCTCCAAAATGGATCTCAAAGTTCTCCAAATATTCACTTCCAGATTCTATGGAAAGATTGTCTCAAAACTGCTCAATCAAACCAAAGGTTCAACTCTGTGAGATGAATGCCCACATCACAAAGAAGTTTCTCAGAGTACTTCTGTGTAGTTTCTATTTGAGGATAGTTCCTTTTCCACCACAGACCAGAAAGGGCTCCAAATATCCATTGCAGATGGTACAAAAAGTGAGATTCAAAACTGCTCAATCCAAAGGTAGTTTCAACCATGTGATATGAATGCACACAGCACAGAGAATTTTCTCAAAATGCGTCTGTCTAGTTTTTATTTGAAGATATTTCCTTTTCTACCATAGGCCACAAACGTTTCCAAATATCCACATGCAGCTTCTACAAAAAGAGAGATTCAAAACTTCTCAATCAAAAGATAGGTTCAAATCTGTGAGTTGAAAGCACACCTCACAAAGAAATTTCTCAGAGTGCTTCTGTGTGTTTTTATGTGAAGATATTTCCTTTTCCACAATAGGCCTCAAAGCTCTCCAAATATCTGCGAGCAGAGTCTACAAAATGAGAGATTCAAAACTGCTCAATGAAAAGATAGGTTCAACTCTGTGAGTTGAATGCACACCTCCAAAGAAGTTTCTCAGAATGCTTCCGTGTAGTTTTTATGTGAAGATATTTACTTTTCCACAGTTGTCCCAAAGCTCTAAAATATCCACTTGCAGACCCTCCAAAAGAGTGTTTCAGAATTGCTCAATCAAAGGGAAGGTTCAATTCTGTGTGACCAATGCACTCATCACAAAGAAGTTTGTCTGAATGCTTCTGTGTAGAATTGATTTGAAGATAATTCCTTTTCCACCACAGTCCGCAAAGGGCTAAAAATATCCACTTGCCGATTCCACAAAAAGAGAGATTCAAAACTGCTCAATCACAAGATAGGTTCAACTTGGTAATTGGAAAGCACACATGACAAACAATTTCTGAGAATGTTTCTGTGTAGTTTTTAAGGGAAGATATTTGATTTTCAAATGTAGGCCTCAAATCGCTCCAAATATCCACTTGCATATTGTACAAAAAGAGAGATTCAAAACTGGTCACTCAAAAGTTAGGTCCAGCTCTGTGAGCTGAATGCACACATCACAAAGATGTTTCTCAGAAGGTTTCTGTATAGTTTCTATATGAAGATATTGGCTTTTCCACAATATGCCTCAAATCTCCCCAATTATCCACTTGCAGATTCTAGAAAAAGAGTGTTTCAAAACAGCTCAATCAAAATAAACTTTCAACTCTGTGAGATCAATGCACACATCACAAAGAAGTTTCTCAGAATGCTTCTGTGTAGTTTTTTTTGTGAAGATATTTGATTTTCCACAGCAGGCTTCCAAGCACTCCAAATATCCACTCGCAGATTCTGCAAAAAGAGAGATTCAAATCTGCTGAATCAAAAGATAGGTTTAACTCTGTGACTTCAATGCACACCTCACAAGGGTGTTTCTCAGAAAGCTTCTGTGTAGTTTTTATATGAAGATATCTCCTTCTCCAAAGCAGGTCTCAAAGCCCTCCAAATATTCACTTCAAGATTCTACGGAAAGATTGTCTCAACACTGCTAAATCTAAACAAATGTTCAACTCTGTGTGATGAATGCACTCATCACAGAGAAGTTTCTCTGAAGGCCTCTGTGTAGTTTTTATTTGAAGATATTTGCTTTTCCAGTATAGGGCGAAATAGGGCTCCAAATATTCACTTGCAGATTCTACAAAAGGAGAGATTCCAAACTGCTCAATCAAAACATAGGTTCAACACTGTGAGTTGAATGCACACATCACAAAGAAGTTTCACAGAGTGCTTCTGGGTAGTTTTTATTTGAGGATATTTCCCTTTCCACAATAGGCCTCAAAGCTTTCCAAATATCCACTTGCAGATTCTGCAAAAAGAGAGATACAAAACTGCTCTATCAAAAGATAGATTCGACTCTGTGAGTTGAATGCCAACATCGCAAAGAAGTTTCTCAGAATGCTTCTCTGCAGCTTTTTTGTGAGTATGTTTCGTTTTCCACCATAGGGCGAAATGGGGCTCCAAATATCCACTTGCATTTCCTACAAAAAGAGAGATTCTAAGCTGCTCAATCAAAACATTGTTTCAACACGGTTAGTTGAATGCACACATCCCCAAAGATGTTTTTCAGAGTGCTTCTGTGTGGTTTTTATGTGAAGATACTTCCTTTTCCACAATAGGCCTCAAATCTCTGTAAATATCCACTTGCAGACTCTACAAAGAGTGTTTCCAAACTGCTCAATCATAAGTTAGGTTCAACTCCGATAGTTGAATGCACACATCACAAAGAAGTTTCTCAGAAAGCTTCTGTGTAGTTTTTGATGAAGATATCTCCTTCTCTAAAACAGAACTCCAAGCCCTCCAAATATTCACTTCAAGATTCTACGGAAAGATTGTCTCAAAACTCCTAAATCAAAACAAAGTTTCAACTCTGTGTCATGAATGCATTCATGTCAAAGAAGTTTCTCTGAATGCTTCTGTGCAGTTTTTATTTGAAGATAATTGCTTTTCCAGTATAGGGCGAAATAGGGCTCCAAATATTCACTTGCAGATTCTACAGAAAGAGAGATTCCAAACTGCTCAATCAAAACTTAGGTTCAACACTGTGAGTTGAATGCATACATCGCAAAGAAGTTTCACAGAGTACTTCTGGGTGGTTTTTATTTGAAGATATTTCCCTTTCCACAATAGGCCTCAAAGCTTTCCAAATGTCCACTTGCAGATTCCACCAAAAGAGTGTTTCGAAACTGCTCAATCAAAAGAAAGGTTCTACTCTGTGGGATGAATGCACACATCACAAAGTAGTTTCTCAGAATGCTTCTGTGTAGTTTTTATGTGAAGATATTTGTTTTTCCACAGTAGGCCCCAAAGAGCTCCAAATATTCACTTGCAGATTCTACAAAAAGAGTGTTCCAAAACTGCTCAATCATGAAATAGGATCAACCCTGTGAGATGAATGTACGTATGACAGAGAAGTTTCTCAGAATGCTTCTGTGTAGTTTTTATGCGAAGATATTCGATTTTCCACAGTACGCCTCAAAGTTCTCCAATTATCCACTCGTAGATTATGCAAAAAGAGAGATTCAAAACTGCTCAATCAAAAGATAGTTTCTACTCCATTAGCTGAAAGACCACATCACAAAAAAAGTTTGCTCAGGATGCTTCTGTGTAGTTTTTATGTGAAGATATTTGGTTTTCCACAGTAGGCCTCAAAGCGCTCCAAATATCCACTCACAGATTCTGCAAAAAGAGAGATTCCAAACTGCTGAATCAAAAGACAGTTTCAACTCTGTGACTTCAGTGCACACCTCACAAGGATGTTTCTCAGAATGCTTCTGTGTAGTTTTTATATAAAGATATCTCCTTCTCCAAAATGGATCTCAAAGTTCTCCAAATATTCACTTCCAGATTCTATGGAAAGATTGTCTCAAAACTGCTCAATCAAACCAAAGGTTCAACTCTGTGAGATGAATGCCCACATCACAAAGAAGTTTCTCAGAGTACTTCTGTGTAGTTTCTATTTGAGGATAGTTCCTTTTCCACCACAGACCAGAAAGGGCTCCAAATATCCATTGCAGATGGTACAAAAAGTGAGATTCAAAACTGCTCAATCCAAAGGTAGTTTCAACCATGTGATATGAATGCACACAGCACAGAGAATTTTCTCAAAATGCGTCTGTCTAGTTTTTATTTGAAGATATTTCCTTTTCTACCATAGGCCACAAACGTCTCCAAATATCCACATGCAGCTTCTACAAAAAGAGAGATTCAAAACTTCTCAATCAAAAGATAGGTTCAACTCTGTGAGTTGAAAGCACACCTCACAAAGAAGTTTCTCAGAGTGCTTCTGTGTGTTTTTATGTGAAGATATTTCCTTTTCCACAATAGGCCTCAAAGCTCTCCAAATATCTGCGAGCAGAGTCTACAAAATGAGAGATTCAAAACTGCTCAATGAAAAGATAGGTTCAACTCTGTGAGTTGAATGCACACCTCCAAAGAAGTTTCTCAGAATGCTTCCGTGTAGTTTTTATGTGAAGATATTTACTTTTCCACAGTTGTCCCAAAGCTCTAAAATATCCACTTGCAGACCCTCCAAAAGAGTGTTTCAGAATTGCTCAATCAAAGGGAAGGTTCAATTCTGTGTGACCAATGCACTCATCACAAAGAAGTTTGTCTGAATGCTTCTGTGTAGAATTGATTTGAAGATAATTCCTTTTCCACCACAGTCCGCAAAGGGCTAAAAATATCCACTTGCCGATTCCACAAAAAGAGAGATTCAAAACTGCTCAATCACAAGATAGGTTCAACTTGGTAATTGGAAAGCACACATGACAAACAATTTCTGAGAATGTTTCTGTGTAGTTTTTAAGGGAAGATATTTGATTTTCAAATGTAGGCCTCAAATCGCTCCAAATATCCACTTGCATATTGTACAAAAAGAGAGATTCAAAACTGGTCACTCAAAAGTTAGGTCCAGCTCTGTGAGCTGAATGCACACATCACAAAGATGTTTCTCAGAAGGTTTCTGTATAGTTTTTATATGAAGATATTGGCTTTTCCACAATATGCCTCAAATCTCCCCAATTATCCACTTGCAGATTCTAGAAAAAGAGTGTTTCAAAACAGCTCAATCAAAATAAACTTTCAACTCTGTGAGATCAATGCACACATCACAAAGAAGTTTCTCAGAATGCTTCTGTGTAGTTTTTTTTGTGAAGATATTTGATTTTCCACAGCAGGCTTCCAAGCACTCCAAATATCCACTCGCAGATTCTGCAAAAAGAGAGATTCAAATCTGCTGAATCAAAAGATAGGTTTAACTCTGTGACTTCAATGCACACCTCACAAGGGTGTTTCTCAGAAAGCTTCTGTGTAGTTTTTATATGAAGATATCTCCTTCTCCAAAGCAGGTCTCAAAGCCCTCCAAATATTCACTTCAAGATTCTACGGAAAGATTGTCTCAACACTGCTAAATCTAAACAAATGTTCAACTCTGTGTGATGAATGCACTCATCACAGAGAAGTTTCTCTGAATGCCTCTGTGTAGTTTTTATTTGAAGATATTTGCTTTTCCAGTATAGGGCGAAATAGGGCTCCAAATATTCACTTGCAGATTCTACAAAAGGAGAGATTCCAAACTGCTCAATCAAAACATAGGTTCAACACTGTGAGTTGAATGCACACATCACAAAGAAGTTTCACAGAGTGCTTCTGGGTAGTTTTTATTTGAGGATATTTCCCTTTCCACAATAGGCCTCAAAGCTTTCCAAATATCCACTTGCAGATTCTGCAAAAAGAGAGATACAAAACTGCTCTATCAAAAGATAGATTCGACTCTGTGAGTTGAATGCCAACATCGCAAAGAAGTTTCTCAGAATGCTTCTCTGCAGCTTTTTTGTGAGTATGTTTCGTTTTCCACCATAGGGCGAAATGGGGCTCCAAATATCCACTTGCATTTCCTACAAAAAGAGAGATTCTAAGCTGCTCAATCAAAACATTGTTTCAACACGGTTAGTTGAATGCACACATCCCAAAGATGTTTTTCAGAGTGCTTCTGTGTGGTTTTTATGTGAAGATACTTCCTTTTCCACAATAGGCCTCAAATCTCTGTAAATATCCACTTGCAGACTCTACAAAGAGTGTTTCCAAACTGCTCAATCATAAGATAGGTTCAACTCCGATAGTTGAATGCACACATCACAAAGAAGTTTCTCAGAAAGCTTCTGTGTAGTTTTTGATGAAGATATCTCCTTCTCTAAAACAGAACTCCAAGCCCTCCAAATATTCACTTCAAGATTCTACGGAAAGATTGTCTCAAAACTCCTAAATCAAAACAAAGTTTCAACTCTGTGTCATGAATGCATTCATCTCAAAGAAGTTTCTCTGAATGCTTCTGTGCAGTTTTTATTTGAAGATAATTGCTTTTCCAGTATAGGGCGAAATAGGGCTCCAAATATTCACTTGCAGATTCTACAGAAAGAGAGATTCCAAACTGCTCAATCAAAACATAGGTTCAACACTGTGAGTTGAATGCATACATCGCAAAGAAGTTTCAAAGAGTACTTCTGGGTGGCTTTTATTTGAAGATATTTCCCTTTCCACAATAGGCCTCAAAGCTTTCCAAATGTCCACTTGCAGATTCCACCAAAAGAGTGTTTCGAAACTGCTCAATCAAAAGAAAGGTTCTACTCTGTGGGATGAATGCACACATCACAAAGTAGTTTCTCAGAATGCTTCTGTGTAGTTTTTATGTGAAGATATTTGTTTTTCCACAGTAGGCCCCAAGGAGCTCCAAATATTCACTTGCAGATTCTACAAAAAGAGTGTTCCAAAACTGCTCAATCATGAAATAGGATCAACCCTGTGAGATGAATGTACGTATGACAGAGAAGTTTCTCAGAATGCTTCTGTGTAGTTTTTATGCGAAGATATTCGATTTTCCACAGTACGCCTCAAAGTTCTCCAATTATCCACTCGTAGATTCTGCAAAAAGAGAGATTCAAAACTGCTCAATCAAAAGATAGTTTCTACTCCATTAGCTGAAAGACCACATCACAAAAAAAGTTTCTCAGGATGCTTCTGTGTAGTTTTTATGTGAAGATATTTGGTTTTCCACAGTAGGCCTCAAAGCGCTCCAAATATCCACTCACAGATTCTGCAAAAAGAGAGATTCAAAACTGCTGAATCAAAAGACAGTTTCAACTCTGTGACTTCAGTGCACACCTCACAAGGATGTTTCTCAGAATGCTTCTGTGTAGTTTTCATATAAAGATATCTCCTTCTCCAAAATGGATCTCAAAGTTCTCCAAATATTCACTTCCAGATTCTATGGAAAGATTGTCTCAAAACTGCTCAATCAAACCAAAGGTTCAACTGCTGTGAGATGAATGCCCACATCACAAAGAAGTTTCTCAGAGTACTTCTGTGTAGTTTCTATTTGAGGATAGTTCCTTTTCCACCACAGACCAGAAAGGGCTCCAAATATCCATTGCAGATGGTACAAAAAGTGAGATTCAAAACTGCTGAATCCAAAGGTAGTTTCAACCATGTGATATGAATGCACACAGCACAGAGAATTTTCTCAAAATGCGTCTGTCTAGTTTTTATTTGAAGATATTTCCTTTTCTACCATAGGCCACAAACGTCTCCAAATATCCACATGCAGCTTCTACAAAAAGAGAGATTCAAAACTTCTCAATCAAAAGATAGGTTCAACTCTGTGAGTTGAAAGCACACCTCACAAAGAAGTTTCTCAGAGTGCTTCTGTGTGTTTTTATGTGAAGATATTTCCTTTTCCACAATAGGCCTCAAAGCTCTCCAAATATCTGCGAGCAGAGTCTACAAAATGAGAGATTCAAAACTGCTCAATGAAAAGATAGGTTCAACTCTGTGAGTTGAATGCACACCTCCAAAGAAGTTTCTCAGAATGCTTCCGTGTAGTTTTTATGTGAAGATATTTACTTTTCCACAGTTGTCCCAAAGCTCTAAAATATCCACTTGCAGACCCTCCAAAAGAGTGTTTCAGAATTGCTCAATCAAAGGGAAGGTTCAATTCTGTGTGACCAATGCACTCATCACAAAGAAGTTTGTCTGAATGCTTCTGTGTAGAATTGATTTGAAGATAATTCCTTTTCCACCACAGTCCGCAAAGGGCTAAAAATATCCACTTGCCGATTCCACAAAAAGAGAGATTCAAAACTGCTCAATCACAAGATAGGTTCAACTTGGTAATTGGAAAGCACACATGACAAACAATTTCTGAGAATGTTTCTGTGTAGTTTTTAAGGGAAGATATTTGATTTTCAAATGTAGGCCTCAAATCGCTCCAAATATCCACTTGCATATTGTACAAAAAGAGAGATTCAAAACTGGTCACTCAAAAGTTAGGTCCAGCTCTGTGAGCTGAATGCACACATCACAAAGATGTTTCTCAGAAGGTTTCTGTATAGTTTCTATATGAAGATATTTGCTTTTCCACAATATGCCTCAAATCTCCCCAATTATCCACTTGCAGATTCTAGAAAAAGAGTGTTTCAAAACAGCTCAATCAAAATAAACTTTCAACTCTGTGAGATCAATGCACACATCACAAAGAAGTTTCTCAGAATGCTTCTGTGTAGTTTTTTTTTGTGAAGATATTTGATTTTCCACAGCAGGCTTCCAAGCACTCCAAATATCCACTCGCAGATTCTGCAAAAAGAGAGATTCAAATCTGCTGAATCAAAAGATAGGTTTAACTCTGTGACTTCAATGCACACCTCTCAAGGGTGTTTCTCAGAAAGCTTCTGTGTAGTTTTTATATGAAGATATCTCCTTCTCCAAAGCAGGTCTCAAAGCCCTCCAAATATTCACTTCAAGATTCTACGGAAAGATTGTCTCAACACTGCTAAATCTAAACAAATGTTCAACTCTGTGTGATGAATGCACTCATCACAGAGAAGTTTCTCTGAAGGCCTCTGTGTAGTTTTTATTTGAAGATATTTGCTTTTCCAGTATAGGGCGAAATAGGGCTCCAAATATTCACTTGCAGATTCTACAAAAGGAGAGATTCCAAACTGCTCAATCAAAACATAGGTTCAACACTGTGAGTTGAATGCACACATCACAAAGAAGTTTCACAGAGTGCTTCTGGGTAGTTTTTATTTGAGGATATTTCCCTTTCCACAATAGGCCTCAAAGCTTTCCAAATATCCACTTGCAGATTCTGCAAAAAGAGAGATACAAAACTGCTCTATCAAAAGATAGATTCGACTCTGTGAGTTGAATGCCAACATCGCAAAGAAGTTTCTCAGAATGCTTCTCTGCAGCTTTTTTGTGAGTATGTTTCGTTTTTCACCATAGGGCGAAATGGGGCTCCAAATATCCACTTGCATTTCCTACAAAAAGAGAGATTCTAAGCTGCTCAATCAAAACATTGTTTCAACACGGTTAGTTGAATGCACACATCCCAAAGATGTTTTTCAGAGTGCTTCTGTGTGGTTTTTATGTGAAGATACTTCCTTTTCCACAATAGGCCTCAAATCTCTGTAAATATCCACTTGCAGACTCTACAAAGAGTGTTTCCAAACTGCTCAATCATAAGATAGGTTCAACTCCGATAGTTGAATGCACACATCACAAAGAAGTTTCTCAGAAAGCTTCTGTGTAGTTTTTGATGAAGATATCTTCTTCTCTAAAACAGAACTCCAAGCCCTCCAAATATTCACTTCAAGATTCTACGGAAAGATTGTCTCAAAACTCCTAAATCAAAACAAAGTTTCAACTCTGTGTCATGAATGCATTCATCTCAAAGAAGTTTCTCTGAGTGCTTCTGTGCAGTTTTTATTTGAAGATAATTGCTTTTCCAGTATAGGGCGAAATAGGGCTCCAAATATTCACTTGCAGATTCTACAGAAAGAGAGATTCCAAACTGCTCAATCAAAACATAGGTTCAACACTGTGAGTTGAATGCATACATCGCAAAGAAGTTTCACAGAGTACTTCTGGGTGGTTTTTATTTGAAGATATTTCCCTTTCCACAATAGGCCTCAAAGCTTTCCAAATGTCCACTTGCAGATTCCACCAAAAGCGTGTTTTGAAACTGCTCAATCAAAAGAAAGGTTCTACTCTGTGGGATGAATGCACACATCACAAAGTAGTTTCTCAGAATGCTTCTGTGTAGTTTTTATGTGAAGATATTTGTTTTTCCACAGTAGGCCCCAAAGAGCTCCAAATATTCACTTGCAGATTCTACAAAAAGAGTGTTCCAAAACTGCTCAATCATGAAATAGGATCAACCCTGTGAGATGAATGTACGTATGACAGAGAAGTTTCTCAGAATGCTTCTGTGTAGTTTTTATGCGAAGATATTCGATTTTCCACAGTACGCCTCAAAGTTCTCCAATTATCCACTCGTAGATTCTGCAAAAAGAGAGATTCAAAACTGCTCAATCAAAAGATAGTTTCTACTCCATTAGCTGAAAGACCACATCACAAAAAAGGTTTCTCAGGATGCTTCTGTGTAGTTTTTATGTGAAGATATTTGGTTTTCCACAGTAGGCCTCAAAGCGCTCCAAATATCCACTCACAGATTCTGCAAAAAGAGAGATTCAAAACTGCTGAATCAAAAGACAGTTTCAACTCTGTGACTTCAGTGCACACCTCACAAGGATGTTTCTCAGAATGCTTCTGTGTAGTTTTTATATAAAGATATCTCCTTCTCCAAAATGGATCTCAAAGTTCTCCAAATATTCACTTCCAGATTCTATGGAAAGATTGTCTCAAAACTGCTCAATCAAACCAAAGGTTCAACTCTGTGAGATGAATGCCCACATCACAAAGAAGTTTCTCAGAGTACTTCTGTGTAGTTTCTATTTGAGGATAGTTCCTTTTCCACCACAGACCAGAAAGGGCTCCAAATATCCATTGCAGATGGTACAAAAAGTGAGATTCAAAACTGCTCAATCCAAAGGTAGTTTCAACCATGTGATATGAATGCACACAGCACAGAGAATTTTCTCAAAATGCGTCTGTCTAGTTTTTATTTGAAGATATTTCCTTTTCTACCATAGGCCACAAACGTCTCCAAATATCCACATGCAGCTTCTACAAAAAGAGAGATTCAAAACTTCTCAATCAAAAGATAGGTTCAACTCTGTGAGTTGAAAGCACACCTCACAAAGAAGTTTCTCAGAGTGCTTCCTGTGTGTTTTTATGTGAAGATATTTCCTTTTCCACAATAGGCCTCAAAGCTCTCCAAATATCTGCGAGCAGAGTCTACAAAATGAGAGATTCAAAACTGCTCAATGAAAAGATAGGTTCAACTCTGTGAGTTGAATGCACACCTCCAAAGAAGTTTCTCAGAATGCTTCCGTGTAGTTTTTATGTGAAGATATTTACTTTTCCACAGTTGTCCCAAAGCTCTAAAATGTCCACTTGCAGACCCTCCAAAAGAGTGTTTCAGAATTGCTCAATCAAAGGGAAGGTTCAATTCTGTGTGACCAATGCACTCATCACAAAGAAGTTTGTCTGAATGCTTCTGTGTAGAATTGATTTGAAGATAATTCCTTTTCCACCACAGTCCGCAAAGGGCTAAAAATATCCACTTGCCAATTCCACAAAAAGAGAGATTCCAAACTGCTCAATCACAAGATAGGTTCAACTTGGTAATTGGAAAGCACACATGACAAACAATTTCTGAGAATGTTTCTGTGTAGTTTTAAGGGAAGATATTTGATTTTCAAATGTAGGCCTCAAATCGCTCCAAATATCCACTTGCATATTGTACAAAAAGAGAGATTCAAAACTGGTCACTCGAAAGTTAGGTCCAGCTCTGTGAGCTGAATGCACACATCACAAAGATGTTTCTCAGAAGGTTTCTGTATAGTTTTTATATGAAGATATTTGCTTTTCCACAATATGCCTCAAATCTCCCCAATTATGCACTTGCAGATTCTAGAAAAAGAGTGTTTCAAAACAGCTCAATCAAAATAAACTTTCAACTCTGTGAGATCAATGCACACATCACAAAGAAGTTTCTCAGAATGCTTCTGTGTAGTTTTTTTTGTGAAGATATTTGATTTTCCACAGCAGGCTTCCAAGCACTCCAAATATCCACTCGCAGATTCTGCAAAAAGAGAGATTCAAATCTGCTGAATCAAAAGATAGGTTTAACTCTGTGACTTCAATGCACACCTCACAAGGGTGTTTCTCAGAAAGCTTCTGTGTAGTTTTTATATGAAGATATCTCCTTCTCCAAAGCAGGTCTCAAAGCCCTCCAAATATTCACTTCAAGATTCTACGGAAAGATGGTCTCAACACTGCTAAATCTAAACAAATGTTCAACTCTGTGTGATGAATGCACTCATCACAGAGAAGTTTCTCTGAATGCCTCTGTGTAGTTTTTATTTGAAGATATTTGCTTTTCCAGTATAGGGCGAAATAGGGCTCCAAATATTCACTTGCAGATTCTACAAAAGGAGAGATTCCAAACTGCTCAATCAAAACATAGGTTCAACACTGTGAGTTGAATGCACACATCACAAAGAAGTTTCACAGAGTGCTTCTGGGTAGTTTTTATTTGAGGATATTTCCCTTTCCACAATAGGCCTCAAAGCTTTCCAAATATCCACTTGCAGATTCTGCAAAAAGAGAGATACAAAACTGCTCTATCAAAAGATAGATTCGACTCTGTGAGTTGAATGCCAACATCGCAAAGAAGTTTCTCAGAATGCTTCTCTGCAGCTTTTTTGTGAGTATGTTTCGTTTTCCACCATAGGGCGAAATGGGGCTCCAAATATCCACTTGCATTTCCTACAAAAAGAGAGATTCTAAGCTGCTCAATCAAAACATTGTTTCAACACGGTTAGTTGAATGCACACATCCCAAAGGTGTTTTTCAGAGTGCTTCTGTGTGGTTTTTATGTGAAGATACTTCCTTTTCCACAATAGGCCTCAAATCTCTGTAAATATCCACTTGCAGACTCTACAAAGAGTGTTTCCAAACTGCTCAATCATAAGATAGGTTCAACTCCGATAGTTGAATGCACACATCACAAAGAAGTTTCTCAGAAAGATTCTGTGTAGTTTTTGATGAAGATATCTTCTTCTCTAAAACAGAACTCCAAGCCCTCCAAATATTCACTTCAAGATTCTACGGAAAGATTGTCTCAAAACTCCTAAATCAAAACAAAGTTTCAACTCTGTGTCATGAATGCATTCATCTCAAAGAAGTTTCTCTGAATGCTTCTGTGCAGTTTTTATTTGAAGATAATTGCTTTTCCAGTATAGGGCGAAATAGGGCTCCAAATATTCACTTGCAGGTTCTACAGAAAGAGAGATTCCAAACTGCTCAATCAAAACATAGGTTCAACACTGTGAGTTGAATGCATACATCGCAAAGAAGTTTCACAGAGTACTTCTGGGTGGTTTTTATTTGAAGATATTTCCCTTTCCACAATAGGCCTCAAAGCTTTCCAAATGTCCACTTGCAGATTCCACCAAAAGAGTGTTTCGAAACTGCTCAATCAAAAGAAAGGTTCTACTCTGTGGGATGAATGCACACATCACAAAGTAGTTTCTCAGAATGCTTCTGTGTAGTTTTTATGTGAAGATATTTGTTTTTCCACAGTAGGCCCCAAAGAGCTCCAAATATTCACTTGCAGATTCTACAAAAAGAGTGTTCCAAAACTGCTCAATCATGAAATAGGATCAACTCTGTGAGATGAATGTACGTATGACAGAGAAGTTTCTCAGAATGCTTCTGTGTAGTTTTTATGCGAAGATATTCGATTTTCCACAGTACGCCTCAAAGTTCTCCAATTATCCACTCGTAGATTCTGCAAAAAGAGAGATTCAAAACTGCTCAATCAAAAGATAGTTTCTACTCCATTAGCTGAAAGACCACATCACAAAAAAAGTTTCTCAGGATGCTTCTGTGTAGTTTTTATGTGAAGATATTTGGTTTTCCACAGTAGGCCTCAAAGCGCTCCAAATATCCACTCACAGATTCTGCAAAAAGAGAGATTCAAAACTGCTGAATCAAAAGACAGTTTCAACTCTGTGACTTCAGTGCACACCTCACAAGGATGTTTCTCAGAATGCTTCTGTGTAGTTTTCATATAAAGATATCTCCTTCTCCAAAATGCATCTCAAAGTTCTCCAAATATTCACTTCCAGATTCTATGGAAAGATTGTCTCAAAACTGCTCAATCAAACCAAAGGTTCAACTCTGTGAGATGAATGCCCACATCACAAAGAAGTTTCTCAGAGTACTTCTGTGTAGTTTCTATTTGAGGATAGTTCCTTTTCCACCACAGACCAGAAAGGGCTCCAAATATCCATTGCAGATGGTACAAAAAGTGAGATTCAAAACTGCTCAATCCAAAGGTAGTTTCAACCATGTGATATGAATGCACACAGCACAGAGAATTTTCTCAAAATGCGTCTGTCTAGTTTTTATTTGAAGATATTTCCTTTTCTACCATAGGCCACAAACGTCTCCAAATATCCACATGCAGCTTCTACAAAAAGAGAGATTCAAAACTTCTCAATCAAAAGATAGGTTCAACTCTGTGAGTTGAAAGCACACCTCACAAAGAAGTTTCTCAGAGTGCTTCTGTGTGTTTTTATGTGAAGATATTTCCTTTTCCACAATAGGCCTCAAAGCTCTCCAAATATCTGCGAGCAGAGTCTACAAAATGAGAGATTCAAAACTGCTCAATGAAAAGATAGGTTCAACTCTGTGAGTTGAATGCACACCTCCAAAGAAGTTTCTCAGAATGCTTCCGTGTAGTTTTTATGTGAAGATATTTACTTTTCCACAGTTGTCCCAAAGCTCTAAAATATCCACTTGCAGACCCTCCAAAAGAGTGTTTCAGAATTGCTCAATCAAAGGGAAGGTTCAATTCTGTGTGACCAATGCACTCATCACAAAGAAGTTTGTCTGAATGCTTCTGTGTAGAATTGATTTGAAGATAATTCCTTTTCCACCACAGTCCGCAAAGGGCTAAAAATATCCACTTGCCGATTCCACAAAAAGAGAGATTCAAAACTGCTCAATCACAAGATAGGTTCAACTTGGTAATTGGAAAGCACACATGACAAACAATTTCTGAGAATGTTTCTGTGTAGTTTTTAAGGGAAGATATTTGATTTTCAAATGTAGGCCTCAAATCGCTCCAAATATCCACTTGCATATTGTACAGAAAGAGAGATTCAAAACTGGTCACTCAAAAGTTAGGTCCAGCTCTGTGAGCTGAATGCACACATCACAAAGATGTTTCTCAGAAGGTTTCTGTATAGTTTCTATATGAAGATATTTGCTTTTCCACAATATGCCTCAAATCTCCCCAATTATCCACTTGCAGATTCTAGAAAAAGAGTGTTTCAAAACAGCTCAATCAAAATAAACTTTCAACTCTGTGAGATCAATGCACACATCACAAAGAAGTTTCTCAGAATGCTTCTGTGTAGTTTTTTTTGTGAAGATATTTGATTTTCCACAGCAGGCTTCCAAGCACTCCAAATATCCACTCGCAGATTCTGCAAAAAGAGAGATTCAAATCTGCTGAATCAAAAGATAGGTTTAACTCTGTGACTTCAATGCACACCTCACAAGGGTGTTTCTCAGAAAGCTTCTGTGTAGTTTTTATATGAAGATATCTCCTTCTCCAAAGCAGGTCTCAAAGCCCTCCAAATATTCACTTCAAGATTCTACGGAAAGATTGTCTCAACACTGCTAAATCTAAACAAATGTTCAACTCTGTGTGATGAATGCACTCATCACAGAGAAGTTTCTCTGAATGCCTCTGTGTAGTTTTTATTTGAAGATATTTGCTTTTCCAGTATAGGGCGAAATAGGGCTCCAAATATTCACTTGCAGATTCTACAAAAGGAGAGATTCCAAACTGCTCAATCAAAACATAGGTTCAACACTGTGAGTTGAATGCACACATCACAAAGAAGTTTCACAGAGTGCTTCTGGGTAGTTTTTATTTGAGGATATTTCCCTTTCCACAATAGGCCTCAAAGCTTTCCAAATATCCACTTGCAGATTCTGCAAAAAGAGAGATACAAAACTGCTCTATCAAAAGATAGATTCGACTCTGTGAGTTGAATGCCAACATCGCAAAGAAGTTTCTCAGAATGCTTCTCTGCAGCTTTTTTGTGAGTATGTTTCGTTTTCCACCATAGGGCGAAATGGGGCTCCAAATATCCACTTGCATTTCCTACAAAAAGAGAGATTCTAAGCTGCTCAATCAAAACATTGTTTCAACACGGTTAGTTGAATGCACACATCCCAAAGATGTTTTTCAGAGTGCTTCTGTGTGGTTTTTATGTGAAGATACTTCCTTTTCCACAATAGGCCTCAAATCTCTGTAAATATCCACTTGCAGACTCTACAAAGAGTGTTTCCAAACTGCTCAATCATAAGATAGGTTCAACTCCGATAGTTGAATGCACACATCACAAAGAAGTTTCTCAGAAAGCTTCTGTGTAGTTTTTGATGAAGATATCTCCTTCTCTAAAACAGAACTCCAAGCCCTCCAAATATTCACTTCAAGATTCTACGGAAAGATTGTCTCAAAACTCCTAAATCAAAACAAAGTTTCAACTCTGTGTCATGAATGCATTCATCTCAAAGAACTTTCTCTGAATGCTTCTGTGCAGTTTTTATTTGAAGATAATTGCTTTTCCAGTATAGGGCGAAATAGGGCTCCAAATATTCACTTGCAGATTCTACAGAAAGAGAGATTCCAAACTGCTCAATCAAAACATAGGTTCAACACTGTGAGTTGAATGCATACATCGCAAAGAAGTTTCACAGAGTACTTCTGGGTGGTTTTTATTTGAAGATATTTCCCTTTCCACAATAGGCCTCAAAGCTTTCCAAATGTCCACTTGCAGATTCCACCAAAAGAGTGTTTCGAAACTGCTCAATCAAAAGAAAGGTTCTACTCTGTGGGATGAATGCACACATCACAAAGTAGTTTCTCAGAATGCTTCTGTGTAGTTTTTATGTGAAGATATTTGTTTTTCCACAGTAGGCCCCAAAGAGCTCCAAATATTCACTTGCAGATTCTACAAAAAGAGTGTTCCAAAACTGCTCAATCATGAAATAGGATCAACCCTGTGAGATGAATGTACGTATGACAGAGAAGTTTCTCAGAATGCTTCTGTGTAGTTTTTATGCGAAGATATTCGACTTTCCACAGTACGCCTCAAAGTTCTCCAATTATCCACTCGTAGATCCTGCAAAAAGAGAGATTCAAAACTGCTCAATCAAAAGATAGTTTCTACTCCATTAGCTGAAAGACCACATCACAAAAAAAGTTTCTCAGGATGCTTCTGTGTAGTTTTTATGTGAAGATATTTGGTTTTCCACAGTAGGCCTCAAAGCGCTCCAAATATCCACTCACAGATTCTGCAAAAAGAGAGATTCAAAACTGCTGAATCAAAAGACAGTTTCAACTCTGTGACTTCAGTGCACACCTCACAAGGATGTTTCTCAGAATGCTTCTGTGTAGTTTTTATATAAAGATATCTCCTTCTCCAAAATGGATCTCAAAGTTCTCCAAATATTCACTTCCAGATTCTATGGAAAGATTGTCTCAAAACTGCTCAATCAAACCAAAGGTTCAACTCTGTGAGATGAATGCCCACATCACAAAGAAGTTTCTCAGAGTACTTCTGTGTAGTTTCTATTTGAGGATAGTTCCTTTTCCACCACAGACCAGAAAGGGCTCCAAATATCCATTGCAGATGGTACAAAAAGTGAGATTCAAAACTGCTCAATCCAAAGGTAGTTTCAACCATGTGATATGAATGCACACAGCACAGAGAATTTTCTCAAAATGCGTCTGTCTAGTTTTTATTTGAAGATATTTCCTTTTCTACCATAGGCCACAAACGTCTCCAAATATCCACATGCAGCTTCTACAAAAAGAGAGATTCAAAACTTCTCAATCAAAAGATAGGTTCAACTCTGTGAGTTGAAAGCACACCTCACAGAGAAGTTTCTCAGAGTGCTTCTGTGTGTTTTTATGTGAAGATATTTCCTTTTCCACAATAGGCCTCAAAGCTCTCCAAATATCTGCGAGCAGAGTCTACAAAATGAGAGATTCAAAACTGCTCAATGAAAAGATAGGTTCAACTCTGTGAGTTGAATGCACACCTCCAAAGAAGTTTCTCAGAATGCTTCCCGTGTAGTTTTTATGTGAAGATATTTACTTTTCCACAGTTGTCCCAAAGCTCTAAAATGTCCACTTGCAGACCCTCCAAAAGAGTGTTTCAGAATTGCTCAATCAAAGGGAAGGTTCAATTCTGTGTGACCAATGCACTCATCACAAAGAAGTTTGTCTGAATGCTTCTGTGTAGAATTGATTTGAAGATAATTCCTTTTCCACCACAGTCCGCAAAGGGCTAAAAATATCCACTTGCCGATTCCACAAAAAGAGAGATTCAAAACTGCTCAATCACAAGATAGGTTCAACTTGGTAATTGGAAAGCACACATGACAAACAATTTCTGAGAATGTTTCTGTGTAGTTTTTAAGGGAAGATATTTGATTTTCAAATGTAGGCCTCAAATCGCTCCAAATATCCACTTGCATATTGTACAAAAAGAGAGATTCAAAACTGGTCACTCAAAAGTTAGGTCCAGCTCTGTGAGCTGAATGCACACATCACAAAGATGTTTCCTCAGAAGGTTTCTGTATAGTTTCTATATGAAGATATTTGCTTTCCCACAATATGCCTCAAATCTCCCCAATTATCCACTTGCAGATTCTAGAAAAAGAGTGTTTCAAAACAGCTCAATCAAAATAAACTTTCAACTCTGTGAGATCAATGCACACATCACAAAGAAGTTTCTCAGAATGCTTCTGTGTAGTTTTTTTTGTGAAGATATTTGATTTTCCACAGCAGGCTTCCAAGCACTCCAAATATCCACTCGCAGATTCTGCAAAAAGAGAGATTCAAATCTGCTGAATCAAAAGATAGGTTTAACTCTGTGACTTCAATGCACACCTCACAAGGGTGTTTCTCAGAAAGCTTCTGTGTAGTTTTTATATGAAGATATCTCCTTCTCCAAAGCAGGTCTCAAAGCCCTCCAAATATTCACTTCAAGATTCTACGGAAAGATTGTCTCAACACTGCTAAATCTAAACAAATGTTCAACTCTGTGTGATGAATGCACTCATCACAGAGAAGTTTCTCTGAATGCCTCTGTGTAGTTTTTATTTGAAGATATTTGCTTTTCCAGTATAGGGCGAAATAGGGCTCCAAATATTCACTTGCAGATTCTACAAAAGGAGAGATTCCAAACTGCTCAATCAAAACATAGGTTCAACACTGTGAGTTGAATGCACACATCACAAAGAAGTTTCACAGAGTGCTTCTGGGTAGTTTTTATTTGAGGATATTTCCCTTTCCACAATAGGCCTCAAAGCTTTCCAAATATCCACTTGCAGATTCTGCAAAAAGAGAGATACAAAACTGCTCTATCAAAAGATAGATTCGACTCTGTGAGTTGAATGCCAACATCGCAAAGAAGTTTCTCAGAATGCTTCTCTGCAGCTTTTTTGTGAGTATGTTTCGTTTTCCACCATAGGGCGAAATGGGGCTCCAAATATCCACTTGCATTTCCTACAAAAAGAGAGATTCTAAGCTGCTCAATCAAAACATTGTTTCAACACGGTTAGTTGAATGCACACATCCCAAAGATGTTTTTCAGAGTGCTTCTGTGTGGTTTTTATGTGAAGATACTTCCTTTTCCACAATAGGCCTCAAATCTCTGTAAATATCCACTTGCAGACTCTACAAAGAGTGTTTCCAAACTGCTCAATCATAAGATAGGTTCAACTCCGATAGTTGAATGCACACATCACAAAGAAGTTTCTCAGAAAGCTTCTGTGTAGTTTTTGATGAAGATATCTCCTTCTCTAAAACAGAACTCCAAGCCCTCCAAATATTCACTTCAAGATTCTACGGAAAGATTGTCTCAAAACTCCTAAATCAAAACAAAGTTTCAACTCTGTGTCATGAATGCATTCATCTCAAAGAACTTTCTCTGAATGCTTCTGTGCAGTTTTTATTTGAAGATAATTGCTTTTCCAGTATAGGGCGAAATAGGGCTCCAAATATTCACTTGCAGATTCTACAGAAAGAGAGATTCCAAACTGCTCAATCAAAACATAGGTTCAACACTGTGAGTTGAATGCATACATCGCAAAGAAGTTTCACAGAGTACTTCTGGGTGGTTTTTATTTGAAGATATTTCCCTTTCCACAATAGGCCTCAAAGCTTTCCAAATGTCCACTTGCAGATTCCACCAAAAGAGTGTTTCGAAACTGCTCAATCAAAAGAAAGGTTCTACTCTGTGGGATGAATGCACACATCACAAAGTAGTTTCTCAGAATGCTTCTGTGTAGTTTTTATGTGAAGATATTTGTTTTTCCACAGTAGGCCCCAAAGAGCTCCAAATATTCACTTGCAGATTCTACAAAAAGAGTGTTCCAAAACTGCTCAATCATGAAATAGGATCAACCCTGTGAGATGAATGTACGTATGACAGAGAAGTTTCTCAGAATGCTTCTGTGTAGTTTTTATGCGAAGATATTCGATTTTCCACAGTACGCCTCAAAGTTCTCCAATTATCCACTCGTAGATTCTGCAAAAAGAGAGATTCAAAACTGCTCAATCAAAAGATAGTTTCTACTCCATTAGCTGAAAGACCACATCACAAAAAAAGTTTCTCAGGATGCTTCTGTGTAGTTTTTATGTGAAGATATTTGGTTTTCCACAGTAGGCCTCAAAGCGCTCCAAATATCCACTCACAGATTCTGCAAAAAGAGAGATTCAAAACTGCTGAATCAAAAGACAGTTTCAACTCTGTGACTTCAGTGCACACCTCACAAGGATGTTTCTCAGAATGCTTTCTGTGTAGTTTTTATATAAAGATATCTCCTTCTCCAAAATGGATCTCAAAGTTCTCCAAATATTCACTTCCAGATTCTATGGAAAGATTGTCTCAAAACTGCTCAATCAAACCAAAGGTTCAACTCTGTGAGATGAATGCCCACATCACAAAGAAGTTTCTCAGAGTACTTCTGTGTAGTTTCTATTTGAGGATAGTTCCTTTTCCACCACAGACCAGAAAGGGCTCCAAATATCCATTGCAGATGGTACAAAAAGTGAGATTCAAAACTGCTCAATCCAAAGGTAGTTTCAACCATGTGATATGAATGCACACAGCACAGAGAATTTTCTCAAAATGCGTCTGTCTAGTTTTTATTTGAAGATATTTCCTTTTCTACCATAGGCCACAAACGTCTCCAAATATCCACATGCAGCTTCTACAAAAAGAGAGATTCAAAACTTCTCAATCAAAAGATAGGTTCAACTCTGTGAGTTGAAAGCACACCTCACAAAGAAGTTTCTCAGAGTGCTTCTGTGTGTTTTTATGTGAAGATATTTCCTTTTCCACAATAGGCCTCAAAGCTCTCCAAATATCTGCGAGCAGAGTCTACAAAATGAGAGATTCAAAACTGCTCAATGAAAAGATAGGTTCAACTCTTGTGAGTTGAATGCACACCTCCAAAGAAGTTTCTCAGAATGCTTCCGTGTAGTTTTTATGTGAAGATATTTACTTTTCCACAGTTGTCCCAAAGCTCTAAAATGTCCACTTGCAGACCCTCCAAAAGAGTGTTTCAGAATTGCTCAATCAAAGGGAAGGTTCAATTCTGTGTGACCAATGCACTCATCACAAAGAAGTTTGTCTGAATGCTTCTGTGTAGAATTGATTTGAAGATAATTCCTTTTCCACCGCAGTCCGCAAAGGGCTAAAAATATCCACTTGCCGATTCCACAAAAAGAGAGATTCAAAACTGCTCAATCACAAGATAGGTTCAACTTGGTAATTGGAAAGCACACATGACAAACAATTTCTGAGAATGTTTCTGTGTAGTTTTTAAGGGAAGATATTTGATTTTCAAATGTAGGCCTCAAATCGCTCCAAATATCCACTTGCATATTGTACAAAAAGAGAGATTCAAAACTGGTCACTCAAAAGTTAGGTCCAGCTCTGTGAGCTGAATGCACACATCACAAAGATGTTTCTCAGAAGGTTTCTGTATAGTTTCTATATGAAGATATTGGCTTTTCCACAATATGCCTCAAATCTCCCCAATTATCCACTTGCAGATTCTAGAAAAAGAGTGTTTCAAAACAGCTCAATCAAAATAAACTTTCAACTCTGTGAGATCAATGCACACATCACAAAGAAGTTTCTCAGAATGCTTCAGTGTAGTTTTTTTTGTGAAGATATTTGATTTTCCACAGCAGGCTTCCAAGCACTCCAAATATCCACTCGCAGATTCTGCAAAAAGAGAGATTCAAATCTGCTGAATCAAAAGATAGGTTTAACTCTGTGACTTCAATGCACACCTCACAAGGGTGTTTCTCAGAAAGCTTCTGTGTAGTTTTTATATGAAGATATCTCCTTCTCCAAAGCAGGTCTCAAAGCCCTCCAAATATTCACTTCAAGATTCTACGGAAAGATTGTCTCAACACTGCTAAATCTAAACAAATGTTCAACTTCTGTGTGATGAATGCACTCATCACAGAGAAGTTTCTCTGAATGCCTCTGTGTAGTTTTTATTTGAAGATATTTGCTTTTCCAGTATAGGGCGAAATAGGGCTCCAAATATTCACTTGCAGATTCTACAAAAGGAGAGATTCCAAACTGCTCAATCAAAACATAGGTTCAACACTGTGAGTTGAATGCACACATCACAAAGAAGTTTCACAGAGTGCTTCTGGGTAGTTTTTATTTGAGGATATTTCCCTTTCCACAATAGGCCTCAAAGCTTTCCAAATATCCACTTGCAGATTCTGCAAAAAGAGAGATACAAAACTGCTCTATCAAAAGATAGATTCGACTCTGTGAGTTGAATGCCAACATCGCAAAGAAGTTTCTCAGAATGCTTCTCTGCAGCTTTTTTGTGAGTATGTTTCGTTTTCCACCATAGGGCGAAATGGGGCTCCAAATATCCACTTGCATTTCCTACAAAAAGAGAGATTCTAAGCTGCTCAATCAAAACATTGTTTCAACACGGTTAGTTGAATGCACACATCCCAAAGATGTTTTTCAGAGTGCTTCTGTGTGGTTTTTATGTGAAGATACTTCCTTTTCCACAATAGGCCTCAAATCTCTGTAAATATCCACTTGCAGACTCTACAAAGAGTGTTTCCAAACTCCTCAATCATAAGATAGGTTCAACTCCGATAGTTGAATGCACACATCACAAAGAAGTTTCTCAGAAAGCTTCTGTGTAGTTTTTGATAAAGATATCTTCTTCTCTAAAACAGAACTCCAAGCCCTCCAAATATTCACTTCAAGATTCTACGGAAAGATTGTCTCAAACTGCTAAATCAAAACAAAGGTTCAACTCTGTGTGATGAATGCATTCATCACAAAGAAGTTTCTCTGAGTGCTTCTGTGCAGTTTTTATTTGAAGATAATTGCTTTTCCAGTATAGGGCGAAATAGGGCTCCAAATATTCACTTGCAGATTCTACAGAAAGAGAGATTCCAAACTGCTCAATCAAAACATAGGTTCAACACTGTGAGTTGAATGCATACATCGCAAAGAAGTTTCACAGAGTACTTCTGGGTGGTTTTTATTTGAAGATATTTCCCTTTCCACAATAGGCCTCAAAGCTTTCCAAATGTCCACTTGCAGATTCCACCAAAAGAGTGTTTCGAAACTGCTCAATCAAAAGAAAGGTTCTACTCTGTGGGATGAATGCACACATCACAAAGTAGTTTCTCAGAATGCTTCTGTGTAGTTTTTATGTGAAGATATTTGTTTTTCCACAGTAGGCCCCAAAGAGCTCCAAATATTCACTTGCAGATTCTACAAAAAGAGTGTTCCAAAACTGCTCAATCATGAAATAGGATCAACTCTGTGAGATGAATGTACGTATGACAGAGAAGTTTCTCAGAATGCTTCTGTGTAGTTTTTATGCGAAGATATTCGATTTTCCACAGTACGCCTCAAAGTTCTCCAATTATCCACTCGTAGATTCTGCAAAAAGAGAGATTCAAAACTGCTCAATCAAAAGATAGTTTCTACTCCATTAGCTGAAAGACCACATCACAAAAAAAGTTTCTCAGGATGCTTTCTGTGTAGTTTTTATGTGAAGATATTTGGTTTTCCACAGTAGGCCTCAAAGCGCTCCAAATATCCACTCACAGGTTCTGCAAAAAGAGAGATTCAAAACTGCTGAATCAAAAGACAGTTTCAACTCTGTGACTTAGAGTGCACACCTCACAAGGATGTTTCTCAGAATGCTTCTGTGTAGTTTTTATATAAAGATATCTCCTTCTCCAAAATGGATCTCAAAGTTCTCCAAATATTCACTTCCAGATTCTATGGAAAGATTGTCTCAAAACTGCTCAATCAAACCAAAGGTTCAACTCTGTGAGATGAATGCCCACATCACAAAGAAGTTTCTCAGAGTACTTCTGTGTAGTTTCTATTTGAGGATAGTTCCTTTTCCACCACAGACCAGAAAGGGCTCCAAATATCCATTGCAGATGGTACAAAAAGTGAGATTCAAAACTGCTCAATCCAAAGGTAGTTTCAACCATGTGATATGAATGCACACAGCACAGAGAATTTTCTCAAAATGCGTCTGTCTAGTTTTTATTTGAAGATATTTCCTTTTCTACCATAGGCCACAAACGTCTCCAAATATCCACATGCAGCTTCTACAAAAAGAGAGATTCAAAACTTCTCAATCAAAAGATAGGTTCAACTCTGTGAGTTGAAAGCACACCTCACAGAGAAGTTTCTCAGAGTGCTTCTGTGTGTTTTTATGTGAAGATATTTCCTTTTCCACAATAGGCCTCAAAGCTCTCCAAATATCTGCGAGCAGAGTCTACAAAATGAGAGATTCAAAACTGCTCAATGAAAAGATAGGTTCAACTCTGTGAGTTGAATGCACACCTCCAAAGAAGTTTCTCAGAATGCTTCCGTGTAGTTTTTATGTGAAGATATTTACTTTTCCACAGTTGTCCCAAAGCTCTAAAATGTCCACTTGCAGACCCTCCAAAAGAGTGTTTCAGAATTGCTCAATCAAAGGGAAGGTTCAATTCTGTGTGACCAATGCACTCATCACAAAGAAGTTTGTCTGAATGCTTCTGTGTAGAATTGATTTGAAGATAATTCCTTTTCCACCACAGTCCGCAAAGGGCTAAAAATATCCACTTGCCGATTCCACAAAAAGAGAGATTCAAAACTGCTCAATCACAAGATAGGTTCAACTTGGTAATTGGAAAGCACACATGACAAACAATTTCTGAGAATGTTTCTGTGTAGTTTTTAAGGGAAGATATTTGATTTTCAAATGTAGGCCTCAAATCGCTCCAAATATCCACTTGCATATTGTACAAAAAGAGAGATTCAAAACTGGTCACTCGAAAGTTAGGTCCAGCTCTGTGAGCTGAATGCACACATCACAAAGATGTTTCTCAGAAGGTTTCTGTATAGTTTTTATATGAAGATATTTGCTTTTCCACAATATGCCTCAAATCTCCCCAATTATCCACTTGCAGATTCTAGAAAAAGAGTGTTTCAAAACAGCTCAATCAAAATAAACTTTCAACTCTGTGAGATCAATGCACACATCACAAAGAAGTTTCTCAGAATGCTTCTGTGTAGTTTTTTTTGTGAAGATATTTGATTTTCCACAGCAGGCTTCCAAGCACTCCAAATATCCACTCGCAGATTCTGCAAAAAGAGAGATTCAAATCTGCTGAATCAAAAGATAGGTTTAACTCTGTGACTTCAATGCACACCTCACAAGGGTGTTTCTCAGAAAGCTTCTGTGTAGTTTTTATATGAAGATATCTCCTTCTCCAAAGCAGGTCTCAAAGCCCTCCAAATATTCACTTCAAGATTCTACGGAAAGATTGTCTCAACACTGCTAAATCTAAACAAATGTTCAACTCTGTGTGATGAATGCACTCATCACAGAGAAGTTTCTCTGAATGCCTCTGTGTAGTTTTTATTTGAAGATATTTGCTTTTCCAGTATAGGGCGAAATAGGGCTCCAAATATTCACTTGCAGATTCTACAAAAGGAGAGATTCCAAACTGCTCAATCAAAACATAGGTTCAACACTGTGAGTTGAATGCACACATCACAAAGAAGTTTCACAGAGTGCTTCTGGGTAGTTTTTATTTGAGGATATTTCCCTTTCCACAATAGGCCTCAAAGCTTTCCAAATATCCACTTGCAGATTCTGCAAAAAGAGAGATACAAAACTGCTCTATCAAAAGATAGATTCGACTCTGTGAGTTGAATGCCAACATCGCAAAGAAGTTTCTCAGAATGCTTCTCTGCAGCTTTTTTGTGAGTATGTTTCGTTTTCCACCATAGGGCGAAATGGGGCTCCAAATATCCACTTGCATTTCCTACAAAAAGAGAGATTCTAAGCTGCTCAATCAAAACATTGTTTCAACACGGTTAGTTGAATGCACACATCCCAAAGATGTTTTTCAGAGTGCTTCTGTGTGGTTTTTATGTGAAGATACTTCCTTTTCCACAATAGGCCTCAAATCTCTGTAAATATCCACTTGCAGACTCTACAAAGAGTGTTTCCAAACTGCTCAATCATAAGATAGGTTCAACTCCGATAGTTGAATGCACACATCACAAAGAAGTTTCTCAGAAAGCTTCTGTGCAGTTTTTGATGAAGATATCTCCTTCTCTAAAACAGAACTCCAAGCCCTCCAAATATTCACTTCAAGATTCTACGGAAAGATTGTCTCAAAACTCCTAAATCAAAACAAAGTTTCAACTCTGTGTCATGAATGCATTCATCTCAAAGAAGTTTCTCTGAATGCTTCTGGGCAGTTTTTATTTGAAGATAATTGCTTTTCCAGTATAGGGCGAAATAGGGCTCCAAATATTCACTTGCAGATTCTACAGAAAGAGAGATTCCAAACTGCTCAATCAAAACATAGGTTCAACACTGTGAGTTGAATGCATACATCGCAAAGAAGTTTCACAGAGTACTTCTGGGTGGTTTTTATTTGAAGATATTTCCCTTTCCACAATAGGCCTCAAAGCTTTCCAAATGTCCACTTGCAGATTCCACCAAAAGAGTGTTTCGAAACTGCTCAATCAAAAGAAAGGTTCTACTCTGTGGGATGAATGCACACATCACAAAGTAGTTTCTCAGAATGCTTCTGTGTAGTTTTTATGTGAAGATATTTGTTTTTCCACAGTAGGCCCCAAGGAGCTCCAAATATTCACTTGCAGATTCTACAAAAAGAGTGTTCCAAAACTGCTCAATCATGAAATAGGATCAACCCTGTGAGATGAATGTACGTATGACAGAGAAGTTTCTCAGAATGCTTCTGTGTAGTTTTTATGCGAAGATATTCGATTTTCCACAGTACGCCTCAAAGTTCTCCAATTATCCACTCGTAGATTCTGCAAAAAGAGAGATTCAAAACTGCTCAATCAAAAGATAGTTTCTACTCCATTAGCTGAAAGACCACATCACAAAAAAAGTTTCTCAGGATGCTTCTGTGTAGTTTTTATGTGAAGATATTTGGTTTTCCACAGTAGGCCTCAAAGCGCTCCAAATATCCACTCACAGATTCTGCAAAAAGAGAGATTCAAAACTGCTGAATCAAAAGACAGTTTCAACTCTGTGACTTCAGTGCACACCTCACAAGGATGTTTCTCAGAATGCTTCTGTGTAGTTTTCATATAAAGATATCTCCTTCTCCAAAATGGATCTCAAAGTTCTCCAAATATTCACTTCCAGATTCTATGGAAAGATTGTCTCAAAACTGCTCAATCAAACCAAAGGTTCAACTCTGTGAGATGAATGCCCACATCACAAAGAAGTTTCTCAGAGTACTTTCTGTGTAGTTTCTATTTGAGGATAGTTCCTTTTCCACCACAGACCAGAAAGGGCTCCAAATATCCATTGCAGATGGTACAAAAAGTGAGATTCAAAACTGCTCAATCCAAAGGTAGTTTCAACCATGTGATATGAATGCACACAGCACAGAGAATTTTCTCAAAATGCGCTGTCTAGTTTTTATTTGAAGATATTTCCTTTTCTACCATAGGCCACAAACGTCTCCAAATATCCACATGCAGCTTCTACAAAAAGAGAGATTCAAAACTTCTCAATCAAAAGATAGGTTCAACTCTGTGAGTTGAAAGCACACCTCACAAAGAAGTTTCTCAGAGTGCTTTCTGTGTGTTTTTATGTGAAGATATTTCCTTTTCCACAATAGGCCTCAAAGCTCTCCAAATATCTGCGAGCAGAGTCTACAAAATGAGAGATTCAAAACTGCTCAATGAAAAGATAGGTTCAACTCTGTGAGTTGAATGCACACCTCCAAAGAAGTTTCTCAGAATGCTTCCGTGTAGTTTTTATGTGAAGATATTTACTTTTCCACAGTTGTCCCAAAGCTCTAAAATATCCACTTGCAGACCCTCCAAAAGAGTGTTTCAGAATTGCTCAATCAAAGGGAAGGTTCAATTCTGTGTGACCAATGCACTCATCACAAAGAAGTTTGTCTGAATGCTTCTGTGTAGAATTGATTTGAAGATAATTCCTTTTCCACCACAGTCCGCAAAGGGCTAAAAATATCCACTTGCCGATTCCACAAAAAGAGAGATTCAAAACTGCTCAATCACAAGATAGGTTCAACTTGGTAATTGGAAAGCACACATGACAAACAATTTCTGAGAATGTTTCTGTGTAGATTTTAAGGGAAGATATTTGATTTACAAATGTAGGCCTCAAATCGCTCCAAATATCCACTTGCATATTGTACAAAAAGAGAGATTCAAAACTGGTCACTCAAAAGTTAGGTCCAGCTCTGTGAGCTGAATGCACACATCACAAAGATGTTTCTCAGAAGGTTTCTGTATAGTTTTTATATGAAGATATTGGCTTTTCCACAATATGCCTCAAATCTCCCCAATTATCCACTTGCAGATTCTAGAAAAAGAGTGTTTCAAAACAGCTCAATCAAAATAAACTTTCAACTCTGTGAGATCAATGCACACATCACAAAGAAGTTTCTCAGAATGCTTCTGTGTAGTTTTTTTTGTGAAGATATTTGATTTTCCACAGCAGGCTTCCAAGCACTCCAAATATCCACTCGCAGATTCTGCAAAAAGAGAGATTCAAATCTGCTGAATCAAAAGATAGGTTTAACTCTGTGACTTCAATGCACACCTCACAAGGGTGTTTCTCAGAAAGCTTCTGTGTAGTTTTTATATGAAGATATCTCCTTCTCCAAAGCAGGTCTCAAAGCCCTCCAAATATTCACTTCAAGATTCTACGGAAAGATTGTCTCAACACTGCTAAATCTAAACAAATGTTCAACTCTGTGTGATGAATGCACTCATCACAGAGAAGTTTCTCTGAATGCCTCTGTGTAGTTTTTATTTGAAGATATTTGCTTTTCCAGTATAGGGCGAAATAGGGCTCCAAATATTCACTTGCAGATTCTACAAAAGGAGAGATTCCAAACTGCTCAATCAAAACATAGGTTCAACACTGTGAGTTGAATGCACACATCACAAAGAAGTTTCACAGAGTGCTTCTGGGTAGTTTTTATTTGAGGATATTTCCCTTTCCACAATAGGCCTCAAAGCTTTCCAAATATCCACTTGCAGATTCTGCAAAAAGAGAGATAAAAAACTGCTCTATCAAAAGATAGATTCGACTCTGTGAGTTGAATGCCAACATCGCAAAGAAGTTTCTCAGAATGCTTCTCTGCAGCTTTTTTGTGAGTATGTTTCGTTTTCCACCATAGGGCGAAATGGGGCTCCAAATATCCACTTGCATTTCCTACAAAAAGAGAGATTCTAAGCTGCTCAATCAAAACATTGTTTCAACACGGTTAGTTGAATGCACACATCCCAAAGATGTTTTTCAGAGTGCTTCTGTGTGGTTTTTATGTGAAGATACTTCCTTTTCCACAATAGGCCTCAAATCTCTGTAAATATCCACTTGCAGACTCTACAAAGAGTGTTTCCAAACTGCTCAATCATAAGATAGGTTCAACTCCGATAGTTGAATGCACACATCACAAAGAAGTTTCTCAGAAAGCTTCTGTGTAGTTTTTGATGAAGATATCTTCTTCTCTAAAACAGAACTCCAAGCCCTCCAAATATTCACTTCAAGATTCTACGGAAAGATTGTCTCAAAACTCCTAAATCAAAACAAAGTTTCAACTCTGTGTCATGAATGCATTCATCTCAAAGAAGTTTCTCTGAATGCTTCTGTGCAGTTTTTATTTGAAGATAATTGCTTTTCCAGTATAGGGCGAAATAGGGCTCCAAATATTCACTTGCAGATTCTACAGAAAGAGAGATTCCAAACTGCTCAATCAAAACATAGGTTCAACACTGTGAGTTGAATGCATACATCGCAAAGAAGTTTCACAGAGTACTTCTGGGTGGTTTTTATTTGAAGATATTTCCCTTTCCACAATAGGCCTCAAAGCTTTCCAAATGTCCACTTGAAGATTCCACCAAAAGAGTGTTTCGAAACTGCTCAATCAAAAGAAAGGTTCTACTCTGTGGGATGAATGCACACATCACAAAGTAGTTTCCCAGAATGCTTCTGTGTAGTTTTTATGTGAAGATATTTGTTTTTCCACAGTAGGCCCCAAAGAGCTCCAAATATTCACTTGCAGATTCTACAAAAAGAGTGTTCCAAAACTGCTCAATCATGAAATAGGATCAACCCTGTGAGATGAATGTACGTATGACAGAGAAGTTTCTCAGAATGCTTCTGTGTAGTTTTTATGCGAAGATATTCGATTTTCCACAGTACGCCTCAAAGTTCTCCAATTATCCACTCGTAGATCCTGCAAAAAGAGAGACTCAAAACTGCTCAATCAAAAGATAGTTTCTACTCCATTAGCTGAAAGACCACATCACAAAAAAAGTTTCTCAGGATGCTTCTGTGTAGTTTTTATGTGAAGATATTTGGTTTTCCACAGTAGGCCTCAAAGCGCTCCAAATATCCACTCACAGATTCTGCAAAAAGAGAGATTCAAAACTGCTGAATCAAAAGACAGTTTCAACTCTGTGACTTCAGTGCACACCTCACAAGGATGTTTCTCAGAATGCTTCTGTGTAGTTTTCATATAAAGATATCTCCTTCTCCAAAATGGATCTCAAAGTTCTCCAAATATTCACTTCCAGATTCTATGGAAAGATTGTCTCAAAACTGCTCAATCAAACCAAAGGTTCAACTCTGTGAGATGAATGCCCACATCACAAAGAAGTTTCTCAGAGTACTTCTGTGTAGTTTCTATTTGAGGATAGTTCCTTTTCCACCACAGACCAGAAAGGGCTCCAAATATCCATTGCAGATGGTACAAAAAGTGAGATTCAAAACTGCTCAAACCAAAGGTAGTTTCAACCATGTGATATGAATGCACACAGCACAGAGAATTTTCTCAAAATGCGTCTGTCTAGTTTTTATTTGAAGATATTTCCTTTTCTACCATAGGCCACAAACGTCTCCAAATATCCACATGCAGCTTCTACAAAAAGAGAGATTCAAAACTTCTCAATCAAAAGATAGGTTCAACTCTGTGAGTTGAAAGCACACCTCACAAAGAAGTTTCTCAGAGTGCTTCTGTGTGTTTTTATGTGAAGATATTTCCTTTTCCACAATAGGCCTCAAAGCTCTCCAAATATCTGCGAGCAGAGTCTACAAAATGAGAGATTCAAAACTGCTCAATGAAAAGATAGGTTCAACTCTGTGAGTTGAATGCACACCTCCAAAGAAGTTTCCTCAGAATGCTTCCGTGTAGTTTTTATGTGAAGATATTTACTTTTCCACAGTTGTCCCAAAGCTCTAAAATGTCCACTTGCAGACCCTCCAAAAGAGTGTTTCAGAATTGCTCAATCAAAGGGAAGGTTCAATTCTGTGTGACCAATGCACTCATCACAAAGAAGTTTGTCTGAATGCTTCTGTGTAGAATTGATTTGAAGATAATTCCTTTTCCACCACAGTCCGCAAAGGGCTAAAAATATCCACTTGCCGATTCCACAAAAAGAGAGATTCAAAACTGCTCAATCACAAGATAGGTTCAACTTGGTAATTGGAAAGCACACATGACAAACAATTTCTGAGAATGTTTCTGTGTAGTTTTTAAGGGAAGATATTTGATTTTCAAATGTAGGCCTCAAATCGCTCCAAATATCCACTTGCATATTGTACAAAAAGAGAGATTCAAAACTGGTCACTCAAAAGTTAGGTCCAGCTCTGTGAGCTGAATGCACACATCACAAAGATGTTTCTCAGAAGGTTTCTGTATAGTTTCTATATGAAGATATTTGCTTTTCCACAATATGCCTCAAATCTCCCCAATTATCCACTTGCAGATTCTAGAAAAAGAGTGTTTCAAAACAGCTCAATCAAAATAAACTTTCAACTCTGTGAGATCAATGCACACATCACAAAGATGTTTCTCAGAAAGCTTCTGTGTAGTTTTTTTTGTGAAGATATTTGATTTTCCACAGCAGGCTTCCAAGCACTCCAAATATCCACTCGCAGATTCTGCAAAAAGAGA
Organism: Homo sapiens; assembly: GCF_000001405.40. NCBI lineage: Eukaryota > Metazoa > Chordata > Mammalia > Primates > Hominidae > Homo > Homo sapiens. The sequence continues at coordinate 17,522,519 of NC_000015.10, read as the reverse complement.
GATTCAAACTGCTGAATCAAAAGATAGGTTTAACTCTGTGACTTCAATGCACACCTCACAAGGGTGTTTCTCAGAAAGCTTCTGTGTAGTTTTTATATGAAGATATCTCCTTCTCCAAAGCAGGTCTCAAAGCCCTCCAAATATTCACTTCAAGATTCTACGGAAAGATTGTCTCAACACTGCTAAATCTAAACAAATGTTCAACTCTGTGTGATGAATGCACTCATCACAGAGAAGTTTCTCTGAATGCCTCTGTGTAGTTTTTATTTGAAGATATTTGCTTTTCCAGTATAGGGCGAAATAGGGCTCCAAATATTCACTTGCAGATTCTACAAAAGGAGAGATTCCAAACTGCTCAATCAAAACATAGGTTCAACACTGTGAGTTGAATGCACACATCACAAAGAAGTTTCACAGAGTGCTTCTGGGTAGTTTTTATTTGAGGATATTTCCCTTTCCACAATAGGCCTCAAAGCTTTCCAAATATCCACTTGCAGATTCTGCAAAAAGAGAGATACAAAACTGCTCTATCAAAAGATAGATTCGACTCTGTGAGTTGAATGCCAACATCGCAAAGAAGTTTCTCAGAATGCTTCTCTGCAGCTTTTTTGTGAGTATGTTTCGTTTTCCACCATAGGGCGAAATGGGGCTCCAAATATCCACTTGCATTTCCTACAAAAGGAGAGATTCTAAGCTGCTCAATCAAAACATTGTTTCAACACGGTTAGTTGAATGCACACATCCCAAAGATGTTTTTCAGAGTGCTTCTGTGTGGTTTTTATGTGAAGATACTTCCTTTTCCACAATAGGCCTCAAATCTCTGTAAATATCCACTTGCAGACTCTACAAAGAGTGTTTCCAAACTGCTCAATCATAAGATAGGTTCAACTCCGATAGTTGAATGCACACATCACAAAGAAGTTTCTCAGAAAGCTTCTGTGTAGTTTTTGATGAAGATATCTCCTTCTCTAAAACAGAACTCCAAGCCCTCCAAATATTCACTTCAAGATTCTACGGAAAGATTGTCTCAAAACTCCTAAATCAAAACAAAGTTTCAACTCTGTGTCATGAATGCATTCATCTCAAAGAACTTTCTCTGAATGCTTCTGTGCAGTTTTTATTTGAAGATAATTGCTTTTCCAGTATAGGGCGAAATAGGGCTCCAAATATTCACTTGCAGATTCTACAGAAAGAGAGATTCCAAACTGCTCAATCAAAACATAGGTTCAACACTGTGAGTTGAATGCATACATCGCAAAGAAGTTTCACAGAGTACTTCTGGGTGGTTTTTATTTGAAGATATTTCCCTTTCCACAATAGGCCTCAAAGCTTTCCAAATGTCCACTTGCAGATTCCACCAAAAGAGTGTTTCGAAACTGCTCAATCAAAAGAAAGGTTCTACTGCTGTGGGATGAATGCACACATCACAAAGTAGTTTCTCAGAATGCTTCTGTGTAGTTTTTATGTGAAGATATTTGTTTTTCCACAGTAGGCCCCAAAGAGCTCCAAATATTCACTTGCAGATTCTACAAAAAGAGTGTTCCAAAACTGCTCCATCATGAAATAGGATCAACCCTGTGAGATGAATGTACGTATGACAGAGAAGTTTCTCAGAATGCTTCTGTGTAGTTTTTATGCGAAGATATTCGATTTTCCACAGTACGCCTCAAAGTTCTCCAATTATCCACTCGTAGATTCTGCAAAAAGAGAGATTCAAAACTGCTCAATCAAAAGATAGTTTCTACTCCATTAGCTGAAAGACCACATCACAAAAAAAGTTTCTCAGGATGCTTCTGTGTAGTTTTTATGTGAAGATATTTGGTTTTCCACAGTAGGCCTCAAAGCGCTCCAAATATCCACTCACAGATTCTGCAAAAAGAGAGATTCAAAACTGCTGAATCAAAAGACAGTTTCAACTCTGTGACTTCAGTGCACACCTCACAAGGATGTTTCTCAGAATGCTTCTGTGTAGTTTTCATATAAAGATATCTCCTTCTCCAAAATGGATCTCAAAGTTCTCCAAATATTCACTTCCAGATTCTATGGAAAGATTGTCTCAAAACTGCTCAATCAAACCAAAGGTTCAACTCTGTGAGATGAATGCCCACATCACAAAGAAGTTTCTCAGAGTACTTCTGTGTAGTTTCTATTTGAGGATAGTTCCTTTTCCACCACAGACCAGAAAGGGCTCCAAATATCCATTGCAGATGGTACAAAAAGTGAGATTCAAAACTGCTCAATCCAAAGGTAGTTTCAACCATGTGATATGAATGCACACAGCACAGAGAATTTTCTCAAAATGCGTCTGTCTAGTTTTTATTTGAAGATATTTCCTTTTCTACCATAGGCCACAAACGTTTCCAAATATCCACATGCAGCTTCTACAAAAAGAGAGATTCAAAACTTCTCAATCAAAAGATAGGTTCAAATCTGTGAGTTGAAAGCACACCTCACAAAGAAATTTCTCAGAGTGCTTCTGTGTGTTTTTATGTGAAGATATTTCCTTTTCCACAATAGGCCTCAAAGCTCTCCAAATATCTGCGAGCAGAGTCTACAAAATGAGAGATTCAAAACTGCTCAATGAAAAGATAGGTTCAACTCTGTGAGTTGAATGCACACCTCCAAAGAAGTTTCTCAGAATGCTTCCGTGTAGTTTTTATGTGAAGATATTTACTTTTCCACAGTTGTCCCAAAGCTCTAAAATATCCACTTGCAGACCCTCCAAAAGAGTGTTTCAGAATTGCTCAATCAAAGGGAAGGTTCAATTCTGTGTGACCAATGCACTCATCACAAAGAAGTTTGTCTGAATGCTTCTGTGTAGAATTGATTTGAAGATAATTCCTTTTCCACCACAGTCCGCAAAGGGCTAAAAATATCCACTTGCCGATTCCACAAAAAGAGAGATTCAAAACTGCTCAATCACAAGATAGGTTCAACTTGGTAATTGGAAAGCACACATGACATACAATTTCTGAGAATGTTTCTGTGTAGTTTTTAAGGGAAGATATTTGATTTTCAAATGTAGGCCTCAAATCGCTCCAAATATCCACTTGCATATTGTACAAAAAGAGAGATTCAAAACTGGTCACTCAAAAGTTAGGTCCAGCTCTGTGAGCTGAATGCACACATCACAAAGATGTTTCTCAGAAGGTTTCTGTATAGTTTCTATATGAAGATATTTGCTTTTCCACAATATGCCTCAAATCTCCCCAATTATCCACTTGCAGATTCTAGAAAAAGAGTGTTTCAAAACAGCTCAATCCAAATAAACTTTCAACTCTGTGAGATCAATGCACACATCACAAAGAAGTTTCTCAGAATGCTTCTGTGTAGTTTTTTTTGTGAAGATATTTGATTTTCCACAGCAGGCTTCCAAGCACTCCAAATATCCACTCGCAGATTCTGCAAAAAGAGAGATTCAAATCTGCTGAATCAAAAGATAGGTTTAACTCTGTGACTTCAATGCACACCTCACAAGGGTGTTTCTCAGAAAGCTTCTGTGTAGTTTTTATATGAAGATATCTCCTTCTCCAAAGCAGGTCTCAAAGCCCTCCAAATATTCACTTCAAGATTCTACGGAAAGATTGTCTCAACACTGCTAAATCTAAACAAATGTTCAACTCTGTGTGATGAATGCACTCATCACAGAGAAGTTTCTCTGAATGCCTCTGTGTAGTTTTTATTTGAAGATATTTGCTTTTCCAGTATAGGGCGAAATAGGGCTCCAAATATTCACTTGCAGATTCTACAAAAGGAGAGATTCCAAACTGCTCAATCAAAACATAGGTTCAACACTGTGAGTTGAATGCACACATCACAAAGAAGTTTCACAGAGTGCTTCTGGGTAGTTTTTATTTGAGGATATTTCCCTTTCCACAATAGGCCTCAAAGCTTTCCAAATATCCACTTGCAGATTCTGCAAAAAGAGAGATACAAAACTGCTCTATCAAAAGATAGATTCGACTCTGTGAGTTGAATGCCAACATCGCAAAGAAGTTTCTCAGAATGCTTCTCTGCAGCTTTTTTGTGAGTATGTTTCGTTTTCCACCATAGGGCGAAATGGGGCTCCAAATATCCACTTGCATTTCCTACAAAAGGAGAGATTCTAAGCTGCTCAATCAAAACATTGTTTCAACACGGTTAGTTGAATGCACACATCCCAAAGATGTTTCTCAGAGTGCTTCTGTGTGGTTTTTATGTGAAGATACTTCCTTTTCCACAATAGGCCTCAAATCTCTGTAAATATCCACTTGCAGACTCTACAAAGAGTGTTTCCAAACTGCTCAATCATAAGATAGGTTCAACTCCGATAGTTGAATGCACACATCACAAAGAAGTTTCTCAGAAAGCTTCTGTGTAGTTTTTGATGAAGATATCTCCTTCTCTAAAACAGAACTCCAAGCCCTCCAAATATTCACTTCAAGATTCTACGGAAAGATTGTCTCAAAACTCCTAAATCAAAACAAAGTTTCAACTCTGTGTCATGAATGCATTCATGTCAAAGAAGTTTCTCTGAATGCTTCTGTGCAGTTTTTATTTGAAGATAATTGCTTTTCCAGTATAGGGCGAAATAGGGCTCCAAATATTCACTTGCAGATTCTACAGAAAGAGAGATTCCAAACTGCTCAATCAAAACTTAGGTTCAACACTGTGAGTTGAATGCATACATCGCAAAGAAGTTTCACAGAGTACTTCTGGGTGGTTTTTATTTGAAGATATTTCCCTTTCCACAATAGGCCTCAAAGCTTTCCAAATGTCCACTTGCAGATTCCACCAAAAGCGTGTTTCGAAACTGCTCAATCAAAAGAAAGGTTCTACTCTGTGGGATGAATGCACACATCACAAAGTAGTTTCTCAGAATGCTTCTGTGTAGTTTTTATGTGAAGATATTTGTTTTTCCACAGTAGGCCCCAAAGAGCTCCAAATATTCACTTGCAGATTCTACAAAAAGAGTGTTCCAAAACTGCTCAATCATGAAATAGGATCAACCCTGTGAGATGAATGTACGTATGACAGAGAAGTTTCTCAGAATGCTTCTGTGTAGTTTTTATGCGAAGATATTCGATTTTCCACAGTACGCCTCAAAGTTCTCCAATTATCCACTCGTAGATTCTGCAAAAAGAGAGATTCAAAACTGCTCAATCAAAAGATAGTTTCTACTCCATTAGCTGAAAGACCACATCACAAAAAAAGTTTCTCAGGATGCTTCTGTGTAGTTTTTATGTGAAGATATTTGGTTTTCCACAGTAGGCCTCAAAGCGCTCCAAATATCCACTCACAGATTCTGCAAAAAGAGAGATTCAAAACTGCTGAATCAAAAGACAGTTTCAACTCTGTGACTTCAGTGCACACCTCACAAGGATGTTTCTCAGAATGCTTCTGTGTAGTTTTCATATAAAGATATCTCCTTCTCCAAAATGGATCTCAAAGTTCTCCAAATATTCACTTCCAGATTCTATGGAAAGATTGTCTCAAAACTGCTCAATCAAACCAAAGGTTCAACTCTGTGAGATGAATGCCCACATCACAAAGAAGTTTCTCAGAGTACTTCTGTGTAGTTTCTATTTGAGGATAGTTCCTTTTCCACCACAGACCAGAAAGGGCTCCAAATATCCATTGCAGATGGTACAAAAAGTGAGATTCAAAACTGCTCAATCCAAAGGTAGTTTCAACCATGTGATATGAATGCACACAGCACAGAGAATTTTCTCAAAATGCGTCTGTCTAGTTTTTATTTGAAGATATTTCCTTTTCTACCATAGGCCACAAACGTCTCCAAATATCCACATGCAGCTTCTACAAAAAGAGAGATTCAAAACTTCTCAATCAAAAGATAGGTTCAACTCTGTGAGTTGAAAGCACACCTCACAAAGAAGTTTCTCAGAGTGCTTCTGTGTGTTTTTATGTGAAGATATTTCCTTTTCCACAATAGGCCTCAAAGCTCTCCAAATATCTGCGAGCAGAGTCTACAAAATGAGAGATTCAAAACTGCTCAATGAAAAGATAGGTTCAACTCTGTGAGTTGAATGCACACCTCCAAAGAAGTTTCTCAGAATGCTTCCGTGTAGTTTTTATGTGAAGATATTTACTTTTCCACAGTTGTCCCAAAGCTCTAAAATGTCCACTTGCAGACCCTCCAAAAGAGTGTTTCAGAATTGCTCAATCAAAGGGAAGGTTCAATTCTGTGTGACCAATGCACTCATCACAAAGAAGTTTGTCTGAATGCTTCTGTGTAGAATTGATTTGAAGATAATTCCTTTTCCACCACAGTCCGCAAAGGGCTAAAAATATCCACTTGCCGATTCCACAAAAAGAGAGATTCAAAACTGCTCAATCACAAGATAGGTTCAACTTGGTAATTGGAAAGCACACATGACAAACAATTTCTGAGAATGTTTCTGTGTAGTTTTTAAGGGAAGATATTTGATTTTCAAATGTAGGCCTCAAATCGCTCCAAATATCCACTTGCATATTGTACAAAAAGAGAGATTCAAAACTGGTCACTCGAAAGTTAGGTCCAGCTCTGTGAGCTGAATGCACACATCACAAAGATGTTTCTCAGAAGGTTTCTGTATAGTTTTTATATGAAGATATTTGCTTTTCCACAATATGCCTCAAATCTCCCCAATTATCCACTTGCAGATTCTAGAAAAAGAGTGTTTCAAAACAGCTCAATCAAAATAAACTTTCAACTCTGTGAGATCAATGCACACATCACAAAGAAGTTTCTCAGAATGCTTCTGTGTAGTTTTTTTTGTGAAGATATTTGATTTTCCACAGCAGGCTTCCAAGCACTCCAAATATCCACTCGCAGATTCTGCAAAAAGAGAGATTCAAATCTGCTGAATCAAAAGATAGGTTTAACTCTGTGACTTCAATGCACACCTCACAAGGGTGTTTCTCAGAAAGCTTCTGTGTAGTTTTTATATGAAGATATCTCCTTCTCCAAAGCAGGTCTCAAAGCCCTCCAAATATTCACTTCAAGATTCTACGGAAAGATTGTCTCAACACTGCTAAATCTAAACAAATGTTCAACTCTGTGTGATGAATGCACTCATCACAGAGAAGTTTCTCTGAATGCCTCTGTGTAGTTTTTATTTGAAGATATTTGCTTTTCCAGTATAGGGCGAAATTGGGCTCCAAATATTCACTTGCAGATTCTACAAAAGGAGAGATTCCAAACTGCTCAATCAAAACATAGGTTCAACACTGTGAGTTGAATGCACACATCACAAAGAAGTTTCACAGAGTGCTTCTGGGTAGTTTTTATTTGAGGATATTTCCCTTTCCACAATAGGCCTCAAAGCTTTCCAAATATCCACTTGCAGATTCTGCAAAAAGAGAGATACAAAACTGCTCTATCAAAAGATAGATTCGACTCTGTGAGTTGAATGCCAACATCTCAAAGAAGTTTCTCAGAATGCTTCTCTGCAGCTTTTTTGTGAGTATGTTTCGTTTTCCACCATAGGGCGAAATGGGGCTCCAAATATCCACTTGCATTTCCTACAAAAAGAGAGATTCTAAGCTGCTCAATCAAAACATTGTTTCAACACGGTTAGTTGAATGCACACATCCCAAAGATGTTTTTCAGAGTGCTTCTGTGTGGTTTTTATGTGAAGATACTTCCTTTTCCACAATAGGCCTCAAATCTCTGTAAATATCCACTTGCAGACTCTACAAAGAGTGTTTCCAAACTGCTCAATCATAAGATAGGTTCAACTCCGATAGTTGAATGCACACATCACAAAGAAGTTTCTCAGAAAGCTTCTCTGCAGTTTTTGATGAAGATATCTCCTTCTCTAAAACAGAACTCCAAGCCCTCCAAATATTCACTTCAAGATTCTACGGAAAGATTGTCTCAAAACTCCTAAATCAAAACAAAGTTTCAACTCTGTGTCATGAATGCATTCATCTCAAAGAAGTTTCTCTGAATGCTTCTGTGCAGTTTTTATTTGAAGATAATTGCTTTTCCAGTATAGGGCGAAATAGGGCTCCAAATATTCACTTGCAGATTCTACAGAAAGAGAGATTCCAAACTGCTCAATCAAAACATAGGTTCAACACTGTGAGTTGAATGCATACATCGCAAAGAAGTTTCACAGAGTACTTCTGGGTGGTTTTTATTTGAAGATATTTCCCTTTCCACAATAGGCCTCAAAGCTTTCCAAATGTCCACTTGCAGATTCCACCAAAAGAGTGTTTCGAAACTGCTCAATCAAAAGAAAGGTTCTACTCTGTGGGATGAATGCACACATCACAAAGTAGTTTCTCAGAATGCTTCTGTGTAGTTTTTATGTGAAGATATTTGTTTTTCCACAGTAGGCCCCAAAGAGCTCCAAATATTCACTTGCAGATTCTACAAAAAGAGTGTTCCAAAACTGCTCAATCATGAAATAGGATCAACCCTGTGAGATGAATGTACGTATGACAGAGAAGTTTCTCAGAATGCTTCTGTGTAGTTTTTATGCGAAGATATTCGACTTTCCACAGTACGCCTCAAAGTTCTCCAATTATCCACTCGTAGATCCCGCAAAAAGAGAGATTCAAAACTGCTCAATCAAAAGATAGTTTCTACTCCATTAGCTGAAAGACCACATCACAAAAAAAGTTTCTCAGGATGCTTCTGTGTAGTTTTTATGTGAAGATATTTGGTTTTCCACAGTAGGCCTCAAAGCGCTCCAAATATCCACTCACAGATTCTGCAAAAAGAGAGATTCAAAACTGCTGAATCAAAAGACAGTTTCAACTCTGTGACTTCAGTGCACACCTCACAAGGATGTTTCTCAGAATGCTTCTGTGGAGTTTTTATATAAAGATATCTCCTTCTCCAAAATGGATCTCAAAGTTCTCCAAATATTCACTTCCAGATTCTATGGAAAGATTGTCTCAAAACTGCTCAATCAAACCAAAGGTTCAACTCTGTGAGATGAATGCCCACATCACAAAGAAGTTTCTCAGAGTACTTCTGTGTAGTTTCTATTTGAGGATAGTTCCTTTTCCACCACAGACCAGAAAGGGCTCCAAATATCCATTGCAGATGGTACAAAAAGTGAGATTCAAAACTGCTCAATCCAAAGGTAGTTTCAACCATGTGATATGAATGCACACAGCACAGAGAATTTTCTCAAAATGCGTCTGTCTAGTTTTTATTTGAAGATATTTCCTTTTCTACCATAGGCCACAAACGTCTCCAAATATCCACATGCAGCTTCTACAAAAAGAGAGATTCAAAACTTCTCAATCAAAAGATAGGTTCAACTCTGTGAGTTGAAAGCACACCTCACAAAGAAGTTTCTCAGAGTGCTTCTGTGTGTTTTTATGATGTGAAGATATTTCCTTTTCCACAATAGGCCTCAAAGCTCTCCAAATATCTGCGAGCAGAGTCTACAAAATGAGAGATTCAAAACTGCTCAATGAAAAGATAGGTTCAACTCTGTGAGTTGAATGCACACCTCCAAAGAAGTTTCTCAGAATGCTTCCGTGTAGTTTTTATGTGAAGATATTTACTTTTCCACAGTTGTCCCAAAGCTCTAAAATATCCACTTGCAGACCCTCCAAAAGAGTGTTTCAGAATTGCTCAATCAAAGGGAAGGTTCAATTCTGTGTGACCAATGCACTCATCACAAAGAAGTTTGTCTGAATGCTTCTGTGTAGAATTGATTTGAAGATAATTCCTTTTCCACCACAGTCCGCAAAGGGCTAAAAATATCCACTTGCCGATTCCACAAAAAGAGAGATTCAAAACTGCTCAATCACAAGATAGGTTCAACTTGGTAATTGGAAAGCACACATGACAAACAATTTCTGAGAATGTTTCTGTGTAGTTTTTAAGGGAAGATATTTGATTTTCAAATGTAGGCCTCAAATCGCTCCAAATATCCACTTGCATATTGTACAAAAAGAGAGATTCAAAACTGGTCACTCAAAAGTTAGGTCCAGCTCTGTGAGCTGAATGCACACATCACAAAGATGTTTCTCAGAAGGTTTCTGTATAGTTTCTATATGAAGATATTTGCTTTTCCACAATATGCCTCAAATCTCCCCAATTATCCACTTGCAGATTCTAGAAAAAGAGTGTTTCAAAACAGCTCAATCAAAATAAACTTTCAACTCTGTGAGATCAATGCACACATCACAAAGATGTTTCTCAGAAAGCTTCTGTGTAGTTTTTTTTGTGAAGATATTTGATTTTCCACAGCAGGCTTCCAAGCACTCCAAATATCCACTCGCAGATTCTGCAAAAAGAGAGATTCAAACTGCTGAATCAAAAGATAGGTTTAACTCTGTGACTTCAATGCACACCTCACAAGGGTGTTTCTCAGAAAGCTTCTGTGTAGTTTTTATATGAAGATATCTCCTTCTCCAAAGCAGGTCTCAAAGCCCTCCAAATATTCACTTCAAGATTCTACGGAAAGATTGTCTCAACACTGCTAAATCTAAACAAATGTTCAACTCTGTGTGATGAATGCACTCATCACAGAGAAGTTTCTCTGAAGGCCTCTGTGTAGTTTTTATTTGAAGATATTTGCTTTTCCAGTATAGGGCGAAATAGGGCTCCAAATATTCACTTGCAGATTCTACAAAAGGAGAGATTCCAAACTGCTCAATCAAAACATAGGTTCAACACTGTGAGTTGAATGCACACATCACAAAGAAGTTTCACAGAGTGCTTCTGGGTAGTTTTTATTTGAGGATATTTCCCTTTCCACAATAGGCCTCAAAGCTTTCCAAATATCCACTTGCAGATTCTGCAAAAAGAGAGATACAAAACTGCTCTATCAAAAGATAGATTCGACTCTGTGAGTTGAATGCCAACATCGCAAAGAAGTTTCTCAGAATGCTTCTCTGCAGCTTTTTTGTGAGTATGTTTCGTTTTCCACCATAGGGCGAAATGGGGCTCCAAATATCCACTTGCATTTCCTACAAAAAGAGAGATTCTAAGCTGCTCAATCAAAACATTGTTTCAACACGGTTAGTTGAATGCACACATCCCAAAGATGTTTTTCAGAGTGCTTCTGTGTGGTTTTTATGTGAAGATACTTCCTTTTCCACAATAGGCCTCAAATCTCTGTAAATATCCACTTGCAGACTCTACAAAGAGTGTTTCCAAACTCCTCAATCATAAGATAGGTTCAACTCCGATAGTTGAATGCACACATCACAAAGAAGTTTCTCAGAAAGCTTCTGTGTAGTTTTTGATGAAGATATCTTCTTCTCTAAAACAGAACTCCAAGCCCTCCAAATATTCACTTCAAGATTCTACGGAAAGATTGTCTCAAACTGCTAAATCAAAACAAAGGTTCAACTCTGTGTGATGAATGCATTCATCACAAAGAAGTTTCTCTGAGTGCTTCTGTGCAGTTTTTATTTGAAGATAATTGCTTTTCCAGTATAGGGCGAAATAGGGCTCCAAATATTCACTTGCAGATTCTACATAAAAGAGAGATTCCAAACTGCTCAATCAAAACATAGGTTCAACACTGTGAGTTGAATGCATACATCGCAAAGAAGTTTCACAGAGTACTTCTGGGTGGTTTTTATTTGAAGATATTTCCCTTTCCACAATAGGCCTCAAAGCTTTCCAAATGTCCACTTGCAGATTCCACCAAAAGAGTGTTTCGAAACTGCTCAATCAAAAGAAAGGTTCTACTCTGTGGGATGAATGCACACATCACAAAGTAGTTTCTCAGAATGCTTCTGTGTAGTTTTTATGTGAAGATATTTGTTTTTCCACAGTAGGCCCCAAAGAGCTCCAAATATTCACTTGCAGATTCTACAAAAAGAGTGTTCCAAAACTGCTCAATCATGAAATAGGATCAACCCTGTGAGATGAATGTACGTATGACAGAGAAGTTTCTCAGAATGTTTCTGTGTAGTTTTTATGCGAAGATATTCGATTTTCCACAGTACGCCTCAAAGTTCTCCAATTATCCACTCGTAGATTCTGCAAAAAGAGAGATTCAAAACTGCTCAATCAAAAGATAGTTTCTACTCCATTAGCTGAAAGACCACATCACAAAAAAAGTTTCTCAGGATGCTTCTGTGTAGTTTTTATGTGAAGATATTTGGTTTTCCACAGTAGGCCTCAAAGCGCTCCAAATATCCACTCACAGATTCTGCAAAAAGAGAGATTCAAAACTGCTGAATCAAAAGACAGTTTCAACTCTGTGACTTCAGTGCACACCTCACAAGGATGTTTCTCAGAATGCTTCTGTGTAGTTTTCATATAAAGATATCTCCTTCTCCAAAATGGATCTCAAAGTTCTCCAAATATTCACTTCCAGATTCTATGGAAAGATTGTCTCAAAACTGCTCAATCAAACCAAAGGTTCAACTCTGTGAGATGAATGCCCACATCACAAAGAAGTTTCTCAGAGTACTTCTGTGTAGTTTCTATTTGAGGATAGTTCCTTTTCCACCACAGACCAGAAAGGGCTCCAAATATCCATTGCAGATGGTACAAAAAGTGAGATTCAAAACTGCTCAATCCAAAGGTAGTTTCAACCATGTGATATGAATGCACACAGCACAGAGAATTTTCTCAAAATGCGTCTGTCTAGTTTTTATTTGAAGATATTTCCTTTTCTACCATAGGCCACAAACGTCTCCAAATATCCACATGCAGCTTCTACAAAAAGAGAGATTCAAAACTTCTCAATCAAAAGATAGGTTCAACTCTGTGAGTTGAAAGCACACCTCACAAAGAAGTTTCTCAGAGTGCTTCTGTGTGTTTTTATGTGAAGATATTTCCTTTTCCACAATAGGCCTCAAAGCTCTCCAAATATCTGCGAGCAGAGTCTACAAAATGAGAGATTCAAAACTGCTCAATGAAAAGATAGGTTCAACTCTGTGAGTTGAATGCACACCTCCAAAGAAGTTTCTCAGAATGCTTCCGTGTAGTTTTTATGTGAAGATATTTACTTTTCCACAGTTGTCCCAAAGCTCTAAAATATCCACTTGCAGACCCTCCAAAAGAGTGTTTCAGAATTGCTCAATCAAAGGGAAGGTTCAATTCTGTGTGACCAATGCACTCATCACAAAGAAGTTTGTCTGAATGCTTCTGTGTAGAATTGATTTGAAGATAATTCCTTTTCCACCACAGTCCGCAAAGGGCTAAAAATATCCACTTGCCGATTCCACAAAAAGAGAGATTCAAAACTGCTCAATCACAAGATAGGTTCAACTTGGTAATTGGAAAGCACACATGACAAACAATTTCTGAGAATGTTTCTGTGTAGTTTTTAAGGGAAGATATTTGATTTTCAAATGTAGGCCTCAAATCGCTCCAAATATCCACTTGCATATTGTACAAAAAGAGAGATTCAAAACTGGTCACTCAAAAGTTAGGTCCAGCTCTGTGAGCTGAATGCACACATCACAAAGATGTTTCTCAGAAGGTTTCTGTATAGTTTCTATATGAAGATATTTGCTTTTCCACAATATGCCTCAAATCTCCCCAATTATCCACTTGCAGATTCTAGAAAAAGAGTGTTTCAAAACAGCTCAATCAAAATAAACTTTCAACTCTGTGAGATCAATGCACACATCACAAAGAAGTTTCTCAGAATGCTTCTGTGTAGTTTTTTTTGTGAAGATATTTGATTTTCCACAGCAGGCTTCCAAGCACTCCAAATATCCACTCGCAGATTCTGCAAAAAGAGAGATTCAAATCTGCTGAATCAAAAGATAGGTTTAACTCTGTGACTTCAATGCACACCTCACAAGGGTGTTTCTCAGAAAGCTTCTGTGTAGTTTTTATATGAAGATATCTCCTTCTCCAAAGCAGGTCTCAAAGCCCTCCAAATATTCACTTCAAGATTCTACGGAAAGATTGTCTCAACACTGCTAAATCTAAACAAATGTTCAACTCTGTGTGATGAATGCACTCATCACAGAGAAGTTTCTCTGAATGCCTCTGTGTAGTTTTTATTTGAAGATATTTGCTTTTCCAGTATAGGGCGAAATAGGGCTCCAAATATTCACTTGCAGATTCTACAAAAGGAGAGATTCCAAACTGCTCAATCAAAACATAGGTTCAACACTGTGAGTTGAATGCACACATCACAAAGAAGTTTCACAGAGTGCTTCTGGGTAGTTTTTATTTGAGGATATTTCCCTTTCCACAATAGGCCTCAAAGCTTTCCAAATATCCACTTGCAGATTCTGCAAAAAGAGAGATACAAAACTGCTCTATCAAAAGATAGATTCGACTCTGTGAGTTGAATGCCAACATCGCAAAGAAGTTTCTCAGAATGCTTCTCTGCAGCTTTTTTGTGAGTATGTTTCGTTTTCCACCATAGGGCGAAATGGGGCTCCAAATATCCACTTGCATTTCCTACAAAAAGAGAGATTCTAAGCTGCTCAATCAAAACATTGTTTCAACACGGTTAGTTGAATGCACACATCCCAAAGATGTTTTTCAGAGTGCTCTGTGTGGTTTTTATGTGAAGATACTTCCTTTTCCACAATAGGCCTCAAATCTCTGTAAATATCCACTTGCAGACTCTACAAAGAGTGTTTCCAAACTCCTCAATCATAAGATAGGTTCAACTCCGATAGTTGAATGCACACATCACAAAGAAGTTTCTCAGAAAGCTTTCTGTGTAGTTTTTGATGAAGATATCTTCTTCTCTAAAACAGAACTCCAAGCCCTCCAAATATTCACTTCAAGATTCTACGGAAAGATTGTCTCAAACTGCTAAATCAAAACAAAGGTTCAATTCTGTGTGATGAATGCATTCATCACAAAGAAGTTTCTCTGAGTGCTTCTGTGCAGTTTTTATTTGAAGATAATTGCTTTTCCAGTATAGGGCGAAATAGGGCTCCAAATATTCACTTGCAGATTCTACAGAAAGAGAGATTCCAAACTGCTCAATCAAAACATAGGTTCAACACTGTGAGTTGAATGCATACATCGCAAAGAAGTTTCACAGAGTACTTCTGGGTGGTTTTTATTTGAAGATATTTCCCTTTCCACAATAGGCCTCAAAGCTTTCCAAATGTCCACTTGCAGATTCCACCAAAAGAGTGTTTCGAAACTGCTCAATCAAAAGAAAGGTTCTACTCTGTGGGATGAATGCACACATCACAAAGTAGTTTCTCAGAATGCTTCTGTGTAGTTTTTATGTGAAGATATTGGTTTTTCCACAGTAGGCCCCAATGAGCTCCAAATATTCACTTGCAGATTCTACAAAAAGAGTGTTTCAAAAGTGCTCAATCATAAAATAGGATCAACCCTGTGAGATGAATGTATGTATGACAAAGAGGTTTCTCAGAATGCTTCTGTGTAGTTTTTATGGGAAGATATTTGATTTTCCACAGTAGGCCTCAAAGTTCTCCAAATATCCACTTGCAGATTCTGCAAAAAGAGAGATTCAAAACTGCTCAATCAAAAGATAGGTTCAACTCTATTAGTTGAAAGACCACATCACCAAGAAGTTTCTCAGGATGCTTCTGCGTAGTTTTTAAGTGAAGATATTTGGTTTTCCACAGTAGGCCTCAAAGCGCTCCAAATATCCACTCACAGATTATGCGAAAAGAGAAATTCAAAACTGCTGAATCAAAAGACAGTTTCAACTCTGTGACTTCAGTGCACACCTCACAAAGATGTTTCTCAGAATGCTTCTGTGTAGTTTTTATATAAGGATATCTCCTTCTCCAAAATGGATCTCAAAGTTCCCCAAATATTCACTTCCAGATACTATGGAAAGATTGTCTCAAAACTGCTCAATCAAACCAAAAGTTCAACACTGCGAAATGAATGCACACATCACAAAGAAGTTTCCCACAATACATTTGTGTAGTTTCTATTTGAGGATAGTTCCTTTTCCACCACAGACCAAAATGGGCTCCAAATATCCATTGCAGATGGTACAAAAAGAGAGATTCAAAACGGCTCAATACAAAGGTAGTTTCAACCATGTGATATGAATGCACACAGCACAGAGAATTTTCTCAAAATGCTTCTGTCTAGTTTTTATTTGAAGATATTATCTTTTCTACCACAGGCCACAAACTTCTCCAAATATCCACATGCAGCTTCTACAAAAAGAGAGATTCAAAACTTCTCAATCAAAAGATAGGTTCAACCCTGTGAGTTGAATGCACACGTCACAAAGAAGTTTCTCAGAGTGCTTCTGTGTGTTTTTATGTGAAGATATTTCCTTTTCCACAATAGGCCTCAAAGCTCTCCAAATATCTGCGAGCAGAGTCTACAAAATGAGAGATTCAAAACTGCTCAATGAAAAGATAGGTTCAACTCTGTGAGTTGAATGCACACCTCCAAAGAAGTTTCTCAGAATGCTTCCGTGTAGTTTTTATGTGAAGATATTTACTTTTCCACAGTTGTCCCAAAGCTCTAAAATATCCACTTGCAGACCCTCCAAAAGAGTGTTTCAGAATTGCTCAATCAAAGGGAAGGTTCAATTCTGTGTGACCAATGCACTCATCACAAAGAAGTTTGTCTGAATGCTTCTGTGTAGAATTGATTTGAAGATAATTCCTTTTCCACCACAGTCCGCAAAGGGCTAAAAATATCCACTTGCCGATTCCACAAAAAGAGAGATTCAAAACTGCTCAATCACAAGATAGGTTCAACTTGGTAATTGGAAAGCACACATGACAAACAATTTCTGAGAATGTTTCTGTGTAGTTTTTAAGGGAAGATATTTGATTTTCAAATGTAGGCCTCAAATCGCTCCAAATATCCACTTGCATATTGTACAAAAAGAGAGATTCAAAACTGGTCACTCAAAAGTTAGGTCCAGCTCTGTGAGCTGAATGCACACATCACAAAGATGTTTCTCAGAAGGTTTCTGTATAGTTTTTATATGAAGATATTTGCTTTTCCACAATATGCCTCAAATCTCCCCAATTATCCACTTGCAGATTCTAGAAAAAGAGTGTTTCAAAACAGCTCAATCAAAATAAACTTTCAACTCTGTGAGATCAATGCACACATCACAAAGAAGTTTCTCAGAATGCTTCTGTGTAGTTTTTTTTGTGAAGATATTTGATTTTCCACAGCAGGCTTCCAAGCACTCCAAATATCCACTCGCAGATTCTGCAAAAAGAGAGATTCAAATCTGCTGAATCAAAAGATAGGTTTAACTCTGTGACTTCAATGCACACCTCACAAGGGTGTTTCTCAGAAAGCTTCTGTGTAGTTTTTATATGAAGATATCTCCTTCTCCAAAGCAGGTCTCAAAGCCCTCCAAATATTCACTTCAAGATTCTACGGAAAGATTGTCTCAACACTGCTAAATCTAAAAAAATGTTCAACTCTGTGTGATGAATGCACTCATCACAGAGAAGTTTCTCTGAATGCCTCTGTGTAGTTTTTATTTGAAGATATTTGCTTTTGCAGTATAGGGCGAAATAGGGCTCCAAATATTCACTTGCAGATTCTACAAAAGGAGAGATTCCAAACTGCTCAATCAAAACATAGGTTCAACACTGTGAGTTGAATGCACACATCACAAAGAAGTTTCACAGAGTGCTTCTGGGTAGTTTTTATTTGAGGATATTTCCCTTTCCACAATAGGCCTCAAAGCTTTCCAAATATCCACTTGCAGATTCTGCAAAAAGAGAGATACAAAACTGCTCTATCAAAAGATAGATTCGACTCTGTGAGTTGAATGCCAACATCGCAAAGAAGTTTCTCAGAATGCTTCTCTGCAGCTTTTTTGTGAGTATGTTTCGTTTTCCACCATAGGGCGAAATGGGGCTCCAAATATCCACTTGCATTTCCTACAAAAAGAGAGATTCTAAGCTGCTCAATCAAAACATTGTTTCAACACGGTTAGTTGAATGCACACATCCCAAAGATGTTTTTCAGATTGCTTCTGTGTGGTTTTTATGTGAAGATACTTCCTTTTCCACAATAGGCCTCAAATCTCTGTAAATATCCACTTGCAGACTCTACAAAGAGTGTTTCCAAACTGCTCAATCATAAGATAGGTTCAACTCCGATAGTTGAATGCACACATCACAAAGAAGTTTCTCAGAAAGCTTCTGTGTAGTTTTTGATGAAGATATCTTCTTCTCTAAAACAGAACTCCAAGCCCTCCAAATATTCACTTCAAGATTCTACGGAAAGATTGTCTCAAAGCTCCTAAATCAAAACAAAGTTTCAACTCTGTGTCATGAATGCATTCATCTCAAAGAAGTTTCTCTGAGTGCTTCTGTGCAGTTTTTATTTGAAGATAATTGCTTTTCCAGTATAGGGCGAAATAGGGCTCCAAATATTCACTTGCAGATTCTACAGAAAGAGAGATTCCAAACTGCTCAATCAAAACATAGGTTCAACACTGTGAGTTGAATGCATACATCGCAAAGAAGTTTCACAGAGTACTTCTGTGTAGTTTTTATGTGAAGATATTTCCTTTTCCACAGTAGGCCTCAAATAGCTCCAAATATCCACTTGCCGATTCTACAGAAAGAGTGTTTCAAAACTGCTCAATCAAAAGAAAGGTTCAACTCTGTGAGATGAATGCACACTTCACAAGGAAGTTTCTTTGAATGCTTCTGTGTAGTTTTTATTTGAAGATATTTCCTTTTCCACCACAGGGCGCAAAGGGCTTCAAATATCCACTTGCAGTTTCTACAAAAAGAGTTTTTCAAAACTGCTCAATCAATAGATAGGTTCAACTCTGTGAGTTGAATGCACACAAAACAATGAAGTTTCTCAGAATGCTTCTGTGCAGTTTTTATGGGAAGATATTTGATTTTCCACAGTAGGCCTCAAAGTTCTCCAAATATCCACTTGCAGATTCTGCAAAAAGAGAGATTCAAAACTGCTCAATCGAAATATAGGTTCAACTCTATTAGTTGAAAGACCACATCACAAAGAAGTTTCTCAGGATGCTTCTGTGTAGTTTTTATGTGAAGATATTTGGTTTTCCACAGTGGGCCACAAAGCGCTCCAAATATCCACTCACAGATTTTGCAAAAAGAGAGATTCAAAACTGCTGAATCAAAAGGTAGTTTGAACTCTGTGACTTCAGTGCACACCTCACAAAGATGTTTCTCAGAATGCTTCTGTGTAGTTTTCATATAAAGATATCTCCTTCTCCAAAATGGATCTCAAAGTTCTCCAAATATTCACTTCCAGATTCTATGGAAAGATTGTCTCAAAACTGCTCAATCAAACCAAAGGTTCAACTCTGTGAGATGAATGCCCACATCACAAAGAAGTTTCTCAGAGTACTTCTGTGTAGTTTTTATTTGAGGATAGTTCCTTTTCCACCATAGACCACAAAGGGCTCCAAATATCCACTTGCACATGGTACAAAAAGAGAGATTCAAAACTGCTCAATCAAAAGGTAGTTTCAACCCTGTGATATGAATGCACACAGCACAGAGAAGTTTCTCAAAATGCTTCTGTCTAGTTTTTATTTGAAGGTATTTCCTTTTCCACCATAGGCCACAAACGTCTCCAAATAGCCACATGCAGCTTCTACAAAAAGAGAGATTCAAAACTGCTCAATCAAAAGATAGGTTCAACTCTGTGGTTGAATGCACACCTCACAAAGAAGTTTCTCAGAATGCTTCTGTGTGTTTTTATGTGAAGATATTTCCTTTTCCACAATAGGCCTCAAAGCTCTCCAAATATCTGCGAGCAGAGTCTACAAAATGAGAGATTCAAAACTGCTCAATGAAAAGATAGGTTCAACTCTGTGAGTTGAATGCACACCTCCAAAGAAGTTTCTCAGAATGCTTCCGTGTAGTTTTTATGTGAAGATATTTACTTTTCCACAGTTGTCCCAAAGCTCTAAAATATCCACTTGCAGACCCTCCAAAAGAGTGTTTCAGAATTGCTCAATCAAAGGGAAGTTTCAATTCTGTGTGACCAATGCACTCATCACAAAGAAGTTTGTCTGAATGCTTCTGTGTAGAATTGATTTGAAGATAATTCCTTTTCCACCACAGTCCGCAAAGGGCTAAAAATATCCACTTGCCGATTCCACAAAAAGAGAGATTCAAAACTGCTCAATCACAAGATAGGTTCAACTTGGTAATTGGAAAGCACACATGACAAACAATTTCTGAGAATGTTTCTGTGTAGTTTTTAAGGGAAGATATTTGATTTTCAAATGTAGGCCTCAAATCGCTCCAAATATCCACTTGCATATTGTACAAAAAGAAAGATTCAAAACTGGTCACTCAAAAGTTAGGTCCAGCTCTGTGAGCTGAATGCACACATCACAAAGATGTTTCTCAGAAGGTTTCTGTATAGTTTTTATATGAAGATATTTGCTTTTCCACAATATGCCTCAAATCTCCCCAATTATCCACTTGCAGATTCTAGAAAAAGAGTGTTTCAAAACAGCTCAATCAAAATAAACTTTCAACTCTGTGAGATCAATGCACACATCACAAAGAAGTTTCTCAGAATGCTTCTGTGTAGTTTTTTTTGTGAAGATATTTGATTTTCCACAGCAGGCTTCCAAGCACTCCAAATATCCACTCGCAGATTCTGCAAAAAGAGAGATTCAAATCTGCTGAATCAAAAGATAGGTTTAACTCTGTGACTTCAATGCACACCTCACAAGGGTGTTTCTCAGAAAGCTTCTGTGTAGTTTTTATATGAAGATATCTCCTTCTCCAAAGCAGGTCTCAAAGCCCTCCAAATATTCACTTCAAGATTCTACGGAAAGATTGTCTCAACACTGCTAAATCTAAACAAATGTTCAACTCTGTGTGATGAATGCACTCATCACAGAGAAGTTTCTCTGAATGCCTCTGTGTAGTTTTTATTTGAAGATATTTGCTTTTCCAGTATAGGGCGAAATAGGGCTCCAAATATTCACTTGCAGATTCTACAAAAGGAGAGATTCCAAACTGCTCAATCAAAACATAGGTTCAACACTGTGAGTTGAATGCACACATCACAAAGAAGTTTCACAGAGTGCTTCTGGGTAGTTTTTATTTGAGGATATTTCCCTTTCCACAATAGGCCTCAAAGCTTTCCAAATATCCACTTGCAGATTCTGCAAAAAGAGAGATACAAAACTGCTCTATCAAAAGATAGATTCGACTCTGTGAGTTGAATGCCAACATCGCAAAGAAGTTTCTCAGAATGCTTCTCTGCAGCTTTTTTGTGAGTATGTTTCGTTTTCCACCATAGGGCGAAATGGGGCTCCAAATATCCACTTGCATTTCCTACAAAAAGAGAGATTCTAAGCTGCTCAATCAAAACATTGTTTCAACACGGTTAGTTGAATGCACACATCCCAAAGATGTTTTTCAGAGTGCTTCTGTGTGGTTTTTATGTGAAGATACTTCCTTTTCCACAATAGGCCTCAAATCTCTGTAAATATCCACTTGCAGACTCTACAAAGAGTGTTTCCAAACTGCTCAATCATAAGATAGGTTCAACTCCGATAGTTGAATGCACACATCACAAAGAAGTTTCTCGGAAAGCTTCTGTGTAGTTTTTGATGAAGATATCTTCTTCTCTAAAACAGAACTCCAAGCCCTCCAAATATTCACTTCAAGATTCTACGGAAAGATTGTCTCAAACTGCTAAATCAAAACAAAGGTTCAACTCTGTGTGATGAATGCATTCATCACAAAGAAGTTTCTCTGAGTGCTTCTGTGCAGTTTTTATTTGAAGATAATTGCTTTTCCAGTATAGGGCGAAATAGGGCTCCAAATATTCACTTGCAGATTCTACAGAAAGAGAGATTCCAAACTGCTCAATCAAAACATAGGTTCAACACTGTGAGTTGAATGCATACATCGCAAAGAAGTTTCACAGAGTACTTCTGGGTGGTTTTTATTTGAAGATATTTCCCTTTCCACAATAGGCCTCAAAGCTTTCCAAATGTCCACTTGCAGATTCCACCAAAAGAGTGTTTCGAAACTGCTCAATCAAATGAAAGGTTCTACTCTGTGGGATGAATGCACACATCACAAAGTAGTTTCTCAGAATGCTTCTGTGTAGTTTTTATGTGAAGATATTTGTTTTTCCACAGTAGGCCCCAAAGAGCTCCAAATATTCACTTGCAGATTCTACAAAAAGAGTGTTCCAAAACTGCTCAATCATGAAATAGGATCAACTCTGTGAGATGAATGTACGTATGACAGAGAAGTTTCTCAGAATGCTTCTGTGTAGTTTTTATGCGAAGATATTCGATTTTCCACAGTACGCCTCAAAGTTCTCCAATTATCCACTCGTAGATTCTGCAAAAAGAGAGATTCAAAACTGCTCAATCAAAAGATAGTTTCTACTCCATTAGCTGAAAGACCACATCACAAAAAAAGTTTCTCAGGATGCTTCTGTGTAGTTTTTATGTGAACATATTTGGTTTTCCACAGTAGGCCTCAAAGCGCTCCAAATATCCACTCACAGATTCTGCAAAAAGAGAGATTCAAAACTGCTGAATCAAAAGACAGTTTCAACTCTGTGACTTCAGTGCACACCTCACAAGGATGTTTCTCAGAATGCTTCTGTGTAGTTTTTATATGAAGATATCTCTTTCTCCAAAATAGATCTCAAAGCCTTCCAAATATTCACTTCCAGATCCTATGGAAAGATGGTCTCAAAACTGCTCAAGCAAAACAAAGGTTCAACTCTGTGAGATGAATGCACACATCACGAAGAAGTTTCTCAGAATACTTCTGTGTAGTTTCTATTTGAGGATAGTTCCTTTTCCACCACAGACCAGAAAGGGCTCCAAATATCCATTGCAGATGGTACAAAATGTGAGATTCAAAACTGCTCAATCCAAAGGTAGTTTCAACCATGTGATATGAATGCACACAGCACAGAGAATTTTCTCAAAATGCGTCTGTCTAGTTTTTATTTCAAGGTATTTCCTTTTCCACCATAGGCCACAAACGTCTCCAAATATCCACATACAGCTTCTACAAAAAGAGAGATTCAAAACTTCTCAATCAAAAGATAGGTTCAATTCTGTGGTTGAATGCACACCTCACAAAGAAGTTTCTCAGAATGCTTCTGTACGTTTTTATGTGAAGATATTTCCTTTTCCACAATAGGCCTCAAAGCTCTCCAAATATCCGCAAGCAGAGTCTACAAAAAGAGAGATTCAAAACTGCTCAATGAAAAGATAGGTTCAACTCTGAGTTGAATGCACATCTCACAAAGAAGTTTCTCAGAATGCTTCTGTGTAGTTTTTATGTGAAGATATTTACTTTTCCACAATTGTCCCAAAGCTCTAAAATATCCACTTGCAGACCCTCTAAAATAGTGTTTCAGAGTTGCTCAATCAAAGGAAAGGATCAACTCTGTGTGACGAATGCACTCATCACAAAGAAGTTTGTCTGAATGCTTCTGTGTAGAATTGATTTGAAGATAATTCCTTTTCCACCACAGTCCGCAAAGGGCTAAAAATATCCACTTGCCGATTCCACAAAAAGAGAGATTCAAAACTGCTCAATCACAAGATAGGTTCAACTTGGTAATTGGAAAGCACACATGACAAACAATTTCTGAGAATGTT